>NC_000013.11:70983863-71135378 GCF_000001405.40 Homo sapiens
TGATACAGTTTTAAAATGTGTTGAATTAGTTTAAAAGTACAAGTTTTTTTTCTCTGTACTGATACAGTCTACTGTTTTTGTTCTTGGGACTTTTAGTGGCTTCAAATCCCAGCTTCGTGTATAATACCTAGTTGAGAGATTACATATCTCATGTTACTCTCCACATTGAAAACAAATTCCGAAAAAGATACTCAAAAATTTTTACATATAAATAAAATTGGTAGCTTGACCAAAAAAAAAGTAAGATCTATGTAGAGCTCTCTAAAGGGGAACCTTGAAAGTCCAATAAGAACCAAAACTACTTTTTATCATAATTATGCGATCTGAGGGTATCTGATGTATACTGGAGAACCTGAGCTTCTGTTTTGATTATTATTTTAAAGACTACAGGGGAAAAAGAAATAAATCCCCAGACCTAAATAAGATGAAATCTCTAATAGGAGACATCTCTATAAAACTAGGACATCAAAGGGTTATTTATATCCTCTGAAAAATCGATTAACGAGAGATAAAAAATATTTTGTGCTATTTCCGACTTTGAAACAAGGTGGACAGGAACAAATCTTTGGAATATTTAGACAATCTGTAACTACAAGCTGGCTGTATTAGTCCATTTTCATGCTGCTGATAAAGACATATCTGAGACTGGCTAATAAAGAAAAAGAGGTTTAATGGACTCACAGTTCCACGTGGCTGGGGAGGTCTCACAATAACGGCAGAAGGCAAAAGGAACATCTTACATGGCAGCACACAAGAGATAATGAGAGCCAAGCAAATGGGGAAACCCCTTATAAAATCACCAGATCTCATGAGATTTATGTACTACCAGGAGAACAGTATGGGAGAACCACCTCCATGATTCAATTATCTCCCACTGGATCCCTCCCACAATATGTGGAAAATATGATAGCTACAATTCAAGGTGAGATTTTGGTGGGGACACAGCAAAACCATATCATTTCACCCCTGGCCCCTTCCAAATCTCATGTCCTTACATTTAAAAACCAATCATGTCTTCCCAACAGTCCCCCAAAGTCTTATTTCAGCATTAACTCAAAAGTCCACAGTCCAAAGCCTCATCTGAGACAAGTCCAGTCCTTACCACCTATGAGACTATAAAATCAAAAGTAAGTTAGTTACTTCCCAGATACTATGGGATACAGGCATTGGATAAATACACACATTCCAAATGGGAGAAATTGACTAAAATGAAGGGGCCACAGACTCCATGCAAGTACAAAATCCAGTGGGGCAGTCAAATCTTAAGCTCCAAAATGATCTCCTTTGAGTCCATGTCTCACATCCAAGTCACGTTGATCCAAGAGGTGGGTCCCAAGGTCTTGGGCTGCTCTGCTTCTGTGGCTTTGCAGAATACAGCCTCCCTCCTGGCTGCTTTCACAGGCTGGCATTAAGTGTCTGTGGCTTTTCCAGGCTTATACTGCAAGCTAGCAGTGGATCTACCATTCTGGTGTCAGGAGAAAGGTGGCCGTCTTCTCATAGCTCCACTGGGTAGTGCCTCAGTGAGGATTCAGCGTGAGGGCTTCAACCTCACATTTCCCTTCTGCACTGCCCTAGCTTAGGTTCTCCATGAGGTCCCTGCCCATGGAGCAAACTTCTGCCTGGACATCCAAGCATTTCCACACATCCTCTGAAATCCAGGCAGAGGTTCCAAACCTCATTTCATGAATTTTGTGCACCTGCAGGCTCAACACCATGTGGAAGCTGCCAAGGCTTGGGGCTTGTACCCATTGAAGCCATGGCCCAAGCAGTACCCTGGATCCTTTTGCCATGGCTAGAGTGGATGGGACGTAAGGCACCAAGTCCCTAGGCTGCACAAAGCAGTGGGGCCCTGGGCCTGGCTCACAAAACTATTCTCTCCCCCTAGACCTCTGGACCAGTGATGGGAGGGGCTGCTGCAAAGATCTCTGACATGTCCTGGAGACATTTTCCCCATTGTCTTGGTGATTAACATTTGGTTCCTGGCTACTTATGCAAATTTCTGCAACCAGCTTGAATTTCTCCTCAGAAAATGTTTTCTTTTCTATCGCATCATCGGGCGGCAAATTTATTGAACTTTTATGCCCTGTTTTCCTTTTAAAACTGAATGCTTTTTAACAGCATCTAAGTCACCATTGAATGCTTTGCAGCTTAGAAATTTCTTCCACCAGATATCCTAAATCATCTCCCTCATGTTGAAAGTTCCACAAATCTCTAGGGCAGAGGCAAAATGCTGCCATTCTCTTTGCTACAACATAGCAAGGGTCATATTTACTCCGGTTTCCAACAAGTTCCTCATCTCCATCTGAGACCACCTCAGCCTGGATTTCATTGTCTATATCATTATCAGCATTTTGGTCAAAGCCATTCAACAAGTCGCTAGGAAGTTCGAAACTTTCCCACATTTTCCTGTCTTCTTCTGAGCCCTCCAAACTATTCCCACCTCTGCTTGTTACCCAGTTCCAAAATTGCTTCCATATTTTCAGGTATCTTTACAGCAGCAGCCCATTCTACCAGTTTACTGCATTAGTCCATTTTCACACTGCTGATAAAGACATACCTGAGACTGGGTAATTTATAAAGAAAAAGAGGTTTAATGGACTCACAGTTCCATGTGGCTGGAGTGGGGTGGCTCAAAATCTTGGTGGAAGGTGAAAGGAATGTCTTACATGGCAGCATGCAAGACAGAATGAGAGCCAAGCAAAAGGGTTTCCCCTTATAAAACCATCAGATCTCACGAGATTAATTCATTACCAGGAGAATAGTATGAGAGAAACTGCTCTCACAATTCAATTATTTCCTGCTGACTCCCTCCCACAACACATGAGAATTATGGCAGCTACAATTCAAGAAGAGACCTGGGTAGGGACTCAGGCAAACCATACCACTGGCTTTCATATACGTTTGTTTTACGATACCATTATAATTATGACAGTGGCAGTAGGCGGACAAATCCTAGGCAGACAGGAGTGAGTCCCCAGTGAAACCCAATCTTTAAAACTCTTCCCTAATTTGGATTTTTATACTGCCATGCCCACCTTTAAGTGGTGCCTTTGTTTCAGCCTTTTTTTTTTTTTTTGCATACTCACAAATCAATCAGCCTGCACTCCCCCGTTAAAAGCCCTGGACCCAGTCATACGCAGAGAGAGACCACCAAACTTCGGGTAGGGAACCACTGGTGTGTTCCCTCTCCACTGAGTGCTGTTCCATCACTCAATAAAATTCTTCTCTGTCCTCATTACCCTTCAATCGTCAGTGTAATCTCATTCTTCTTGGATGTGAGAAAAGAACTCGGGAACCCCCAAACCCGGGTATGAGTGCACACCCAGCCCAGTTGCAGGCTGAGCCAGTGCATGATCCAGGTGCAGCCTGGTGAGCCGATTGGGTGAGCACCTCCTGGGCAGGTCCTGGACCAAGTGAGGCCTGGATGGGGGGTGTCACCAGCAGTGGAGGTTCCCGGCTGGCAAAGTGGCCAAGAAAAATCTTGCATCACTTCTAGGCTCTAAATCCTTGAAAGAGAATATAGAAAATGTGATTGGTATAAGCGGAAATTGATCCTTTTTTTTCTTGTATTACTCTTGTTGGATTCAGGTAGCATAAAGAGATTTAGAAGTTAATCCTTCGCTTTGTTTTTTGAGCATTTGTGTATAATTTTGTCTGAAAAGTAAAATGACCTAGCTCTTGAATATTTGCTAAAGTATAACTGTAAATTCATCTATTGTTGGTATTTTTGGTGATACTATTTAATTACTCTTTTATATATTAATGATTATAGGACTTTGAAAAATATCTACTAATATCCAAGGGTAACATGAATAAATATCTCCAATAATTATTCCTGCAGGTGAATTATTTTTCCTATTTCATCTATTGAGTTATTTGGTAAGAAGTCTCCAATGTCTCCCACCTATCTCAGATAATAGGCTAAAACCAGAAAAATTGTCTCAAGTCCATCATTATCCATTTGGTTTTAGACTTTTAAAAAAAGTATTAAATTGATATTCTCAACCTAATCAATGATATTGGTGGATTGACACTGGATTGCAGTCGTTTATTTCTGTTCCTAGAAATTGCTATTATTTTGTTTCCTTGCCCTGGAAAGACAATAAGATATTCAGTTATGTCTTCAAGAAGTTTTCAGTTTAGTTCATCTTCAAAATTTGGCAAATATCTTGATTAACAGATGTGCCACATGTTTCTGGCCAATTCAGTCACAAATTTTATTTCTGTAAACATGAGAAAATGCAAAATCTCTGCTGATTTATCAGTCCCTCTTCTGTCAGAGACCAAGTCTTGATTCTTGATCTCTACATACACATGGAATCAGGAAGTTACCTCCAGGGGAAAAGTGACTATAGTTCCTCAGAGTCTAGGACTTTAAAATCATCTTTGTTTAAGGTCTTCATTCCCCCCACCAATTGCAACAGTGGATCTTTGGTTTTTAAACACCTATCTTTTATACTCTAGGAGATTTTGCTTTGACTTTCAGAAGCTTTATACCCAGCCTTTCAACCTTTTCCATAGTCTTAGAATAAAGAAAATGTCTTGTGGAGCAAAGGGTCATACATATGGGTCAAATGTGTAGGTTATCCTGGTCTCTAGATTGTCACTGTTGCCCTATGTGATGACAAAAACCTTTCTTGGATTCTCTTTCTCCTATATTGATTCTTCCAGAAATCACATTTGTACTCGTTTATGAGTATATGATACAATATAATTTTGTACTCACTAAGGACAGTTTCCCTGAGGGAGGATACATAAAGAGCATCCTCTGATGACCAATGATCCTTCATGTGCCACCTTAGTGTAGTGACATATTGGAATCATTTAGAAGATCTTCCCTTTAACAATGACAACTACAAAACAAACAAGCAAACAAACAAAAAATGTAACCATTGAATTCATAGAATGGGGTCTTTTGAGTAGGAAAGTGGAGGATCAATTGGAAGCATATATTACACGCTTTGAGTAATTTAAGGAGTCTTTCCTTGGTTCTAAATAGGAATGGAATGGAACTGAAGATAAAAAGAACCTTTGTTTTAATTATTAAAAAGTGATGTGAGGCAAACTATACAAATAATCTTTGAAAGTAAATCTCAGTCTGTGCACAGAAGGGCACCACATAAATTGCCAGGTATAGTTGGGCTACTCTGGTTTGGATCTTTCACAATTTGCTAATATGCAAGCGGTCTTTCTTCTAGAAGCTATACATTTTAAGGCCAACTCATTTTCACTAGTAATAACACAAATAAATAAAATACACATTCTCTTCTAGTAAAACATGGGTTTACAAAGACCTAATGTTGCTTTTAAGTGTGATTAATTGTGAAATCTCTTTTCTTCCATTGCATTCATTTAGCCTACTCCTCTACAATCCCATGTGACCAACAGAGAAATCCCAGCTGTACTTTGAAGGGGAAAAGTCTTACTCTCTCACTCTAAAGAAGCCAGCATCTTACTCTATCAAATTCCTAACCTCATTCACCTTCTGTCTCTGCCTTCCTAGAATCAATTGAATTTATTCTAAGAACATGGTACACTTCAGGATATTTACTCTTAAATCATTGAGATAATAAAAAAACTTTTTAAAAAAATTTTACTTAAATTTCTGGGATACATGTGCAGAACGTGCAGATTTGTTACAGAATTATACATGTGCAATCTTACTTAAAAAAAAAAAAGCTAGATGTGATTCTCCAAGGGAGAAACAAAACCCTTTAAGGTTTCAAGCAAGTAACCAGTTCTGAGTCAGGACTCTTCTGGTTGGCAGCTTCCCTGGAATATGATTGCAGTGGGAACTGAAATAACTGGATACACAGAACTGCAATGCCAAGGCGTTTGAACATGTTAACAATGAATGAGGAAGATCATTCTCCCAGGGGTAAGAATTCTTGTATTGTGTTCTGGTATCTGGACAAAGAAAATTGAACCTCAGCATTCAAATAGAAGCATCCGATGATTTCATTTCAAAGCAGAATTAAAACATTCCAGGGGTTGTGCAAAGCAAACTACATAGACTTATAAAGAAAGTGTTAGAATGTCTATTTCTACTTATTTTTATTTTTAAAATATAACCATTGAGTTGTTTAAGGCTTTAGTGCACTAATTGACATGTCAATATTACTCTGGTCTATTTCACATCAGTTGTTGCCTTTATGATGGAGGATTTGGCAGAAAAGCAGAATTTCTTCAACGTAGAAGAGCTGAAGGAGCATCTTCACGGGCTTCAGGTACTGAGGAATATTTCATGTATAGTTCCATAATTAATAGATGTAAGAGTTAATCACTCAGTTTTAACTAAACTAACCCACATAAAATGGACAAGTAAGTTAAAAAAGATTTCTACAACATATGGGTTGTTAATAATCTCAAGGATTTAAGCACAGGCAGAAAACAAGATTATAGTTGGAGTAGACAATTTACTGCTCAAAGCTATCTTTGTCTGCCTCATTCTGAGGTAAAACATTCGTGGCATAACTGTATCTAATAACTTTTATAAATAAAATTTAATTTTATCAGAAATATAGTTTTGAAAATTAGATTTACACTCATGGACATTAATAGCCTTACCTTAAAATGTATATTTTTCTTTGGGAAATTAGCTATCATTAATTTTATGCCACTATTATTAGACTGATATCTTACTAATTTATGTTTATGTGAATGCCTTATTAGATATATAATCTATTAGTACAGAAGTTCATGTATACACTCTATACTTCAATAAATATACACATACTATATTGGAGAGGTGTAATCTAAAAGTGTAGAGACAAATTTAGAATACCTAAACCTAATTTGGAAATATATAAATTTCTCATTTTCAAGCAAACATTTTCAGACCGTGAATGGATATTCAAACTGCTTATTTCAGAAAAATGCAGTAAAGCAAATATTGATCATTTCTAAAGATAAGAAGTAGATGTAAAACTTCCAAGTAATTTCCTACAAAGTCATTAAAATTATCCAAACAAGTAACTCCATCATCTTGAAATTTAGTTAATTTGCAAATTTTCATCTGGACTGCATAGATTCATATTTACAGTTACATTTTATGGCAGTGAGAAGAAAAGAAGGCTGGATTGATCAAACGTAAGACCACCTTGATGTGAAAACCTAATTCTCCTTTCAAATACATAGCTAGAAAGTTCAGAGATGTTAAAAATCTTTAAGTTAGTGCTGTAGACAGTGTAAGGGGATCAAAGTTATAGCTTAAAGTATTTTCTTTGATTAGGAAGATACTGGATTCCAAATGCTTTACATATACTCTTTTACAATAATCGATAATATTAATACCATTTCTCCACAACTGCCACCACCAACAACAAAAGTGTGTGATATTGTATATTTCCAAACTAATACAAGTATATAACACAGATACAGTTTGAGTCTATCTCTCCCTGGCTTTAATCCTCATCATTTTCAACAACTTCAATAGTGCTCAAACCATTCTGCCAAAGCACAAAGGTCCTCAGGAAATACTTTAAACTCTGCAATAATGATAGTAGTAGTAAATTATAATTAACTTGATTTTACTCTCTGGTCATTTTTATATGTATAATTCTCTTCAATATTAGATTTTCCCATTACAAATGTTGAAATAAGGGGTTCTATCTGTTTCCAGTAAAACATGGTAACCCAATACTTTGCAAGTCCTAATTCTCCTGTATGTGCTGGAAATAATCTCATAGAATTTAAATAAATGGATACAAGTGTTTGTTAGGCACATATTTCTCAGTATTTGGAAACAAACTGAGGAACTGGAGATGTTGATAAGAAAATGAATAATGCATCCATTCCTGATGAAATTTTCCAGACAAAATAAATACAATCTCAGAAGAAAAAAAAAAGCTATTTAAATTGGTAGTTTTTAATGGTAAAATAAAACAAACCTTACCAAAATCACATTATTAAGCAAACATACCCTGTACTGCTTTGTAGAGTACTTACATATTTTGATTGCCACTTATAAATTACAATTTTTTTGTTCTATTCTGTCTCTATTGACAAAAGTTTTGGGTTAAATTCAGTTGGATTATAAAGCTAAAAAGGGGAGCAAATGTTTTAAAATGTCCTCTAAGTTTAAATAACTCAATTTAGAAAACCATAAAATCTCATTTACATCAAACATTTTCAAGCTGCAAGTGGATATTAAGGCTGTTTATTTCAGGAATATTCAATAAAGGTGCAAAAATCCTGGCAGTTTTCAAAGAAAAGAAATAGATATAAATCTTTGGAGCACATTCTTACAAAGACGTTAAAACTAACAAAACAGGTGACTGCATCATTCTGAAATTCAGTTCATTTGCAATTTTAATAAAATGTTTTTATATAAATCTTTATGTTCCCTTTAAAATTAATATCAAAGCAACTATCTGCTTTTACTGTATTATCTTTTAAAATGGGAGACACAGAAAATCAGTAAATGAGGTTATATTACTAATTAGCATACTGTCTTCACTACCTATAGTACACTACAAAAAATGTGGCTTCCATTTTATCACATAGATGAAACAGTTATCTTTCAGGGTTTGAAATTTCTGTGATCTTTATGCTTAATAAGCTCAGTAAAAGGCATTCAAATTACATCACTTTTGTCTTGGAAGTTAAATTGGGAAATATTGCATTCTCTGAGATGATAAACTCTGCTGAAGATAAATTATCATGAGAAATAGTTTTAATTGATTTACCATAATAAAAGTTATGTGACTTTGAAGTGCAAATGACACATTAAAATGAATCTACAGTATGTTGATAATAAAGTGGCTTCTTTGTTAATGGAATTACTGACACTGCAGATGCTTTCAGGAGCGATGTCTTCTACTGTTAATCAAGAGACTTCAATGTAAAATGAATGTGCTGTTTACTTAAATCCAGCCCAACTTTCTCGCTTCTTCCTTCAGAGTAGGTCAATTTTAAGGACCAAATATCAAAAATTCTAACCATCACAGAGTCAATATTTTTGCTATTGCACTTCTGCTTTTCTCTGATCATCTTGACTACATGCCTACATTCTTTCTGTGTAAGTAAATCCAAAAGACTGTCAGAGAAAAGGACAGTGACAAAGTCCACAGTTAAGTTCAAGTTTAGATGCCTACATAAGTGTAAACTAGTGACATTTTTTCCATAATATAAATTCAAAAAAATTTTGAACAGTAAGATGCAAAAAAAGTGAATATTTTAGAGTTTGGGTTGTTTTTTTTAATTAAAGGAATAAAGTATTTCAAATTTACTTGGTAGTTGAATACAATCATTTTGTTTAAAGCAACTACATTTTGTAATCTGAGAAACTTTCTCAATCACCTCCTATGAAAAATCCATTTTAGCCAAACTGTAGGAATAATTTGAATATGCTATTGTTTCATTTAGTTGCCAATTGTGTTAATTATATAACATCAATTATCAATATTTGATTCTACTTAATGAGTAGCAGTGTATGCAAGTATTTTTCAGTACTGTCAATCTCTGTTTTGTAAGTGAACAGCAAATGGAAATCTCCTGCCATTCTTATTTTTCAAAAAATGTGCAGTGTTTTTTCTGGGGAGGTGTGGAGGGTGATGAGACCGAAATGCAGACTTCCACTGTTGTTTCAGTGCCGTGCTTGGTGAGTGTTACTAGAGCAACTGAGAGTGAACAGGATTAAACACCAGTTTATTTGCTCAAGAACACGCTGAAGAATAATCTTGTAGTGACATAAAGAGGATTAATATCAACAGGAATTATAAATATGAGTTAATATATAGCTCTGACTTACATTAATTTTACTTTGTTTCAATAATTAACACAAATTTCTTATTTACTAAATTCTTTATACTAAATTTACTATGACGTATCCACTCATCTTGTGTTACATAAATTAATGACAAATTATAAGGCTCTATGTTTTAAAGTTCTTTCAAACAGGAGAAAAACTACAAGCGTTATAAATAATACTGGTGTCTGAGATAATAATTTGGCATACTATGTGAATAGATTCTAAGAAAAATAAGCCTGAATGAAAGTAATAATGTTTATGTGAAAATTGTAAACTGGCTATAAAAATTTTTCTAAAATGTGTGATTTCAAAAGTGTTATATAAAGACTAGGTAACCATAATTTTATTAGAGCCATTTTTAAATCACGTAATATACTGTTAGAACTATATTATTTGACTAAAACTGGAACACACTTCAGTAAAAAAAGCAAATATTTGCTATTTAAAAATAGAAAATATCCCAAAGTATATTAATATTGGATTTGTTTAAAAATCTATGAATCTTTATTGATAATTATATTATCTTGATGGAATTTATTCCTTAAAATTTTATTATTTAATCTCAGAAAATAGTGTGCTGTGGTTAAAATCATAGAGGCAAACATCAGAAGTTTTCTTGCATGCATTAATTTACCAATTTGCACTGCTCATGCATTCTTTATCCTTTCAACCTGGAAAGCTTCTATCTGATTTTTTAGTGGCTGTTTAAACAAAAATAGATGTTTATCTCTTTAAAATTTTGCCAGGAAGCTGTCACTTTCCCATTTACTCAAGCTATGTTGTGACAGAATGTGTCAGCTTCTCACACAAATGAAAAGAGATATAGACCTGTATTTACTTTAGCTGAAAAATAAGTAGTCATCAATTCAGAGAAAAGTGTTTTCCCAGCTGAAAAGATGAAGTAAATAGGAGTGGTTGAGAGAATCAAGTATTTTCTAATACTTAAAAGGCAGATGTAAACCAAACATACAGCGCTGATTCACTTTTGGTTATCATATTGAAAGTAGATAATCTTGTGGTATGTAAAAGTTGGTACTTTGTCTCTTTTGTAGTTTATGATTTTGCCTTAAAACGATAAAAACATTTAGGCAGTTAACTTTCCCACATTTTTTTTCCTATGCAGGCTAAAAGCCTCAGAAATTTAAATGAAAATAAGAAAAAATAATCTTTAAGAAATAGTTTTTGGAATTATGTTAGATTCAAAACAAACTTAATTGGGAGAAAAAGATGGTTGAATTAAGAGTAATGATTTCACCATATAGTTAACATTAAATGTATATTTAAGTATACTCTTTTTCACTAAAATGTCTCATTTTTGGGAATTTCTCAGGATAAAACTTCATGGAAAATATTACTGAAATGTACCAGAAAGCAACGGTATTGACACTAAACCAAAGATAACATGTAGTGATGGGCTTTTGCTCAAGACCGATTAGAGTTGCACAATTAAATTAAAAGCAACATTTTTTTTTTTGAGATGGAGTTTTGTTCTTGTAGCCAAGGCTGGAGTGCAATGGCACGATCTCTGCTTACTGCAATTCTCCTGCCTCAGCCTCTCGAAAAGCAACCATTTTTAATAGCTCAAAAGGAGCAACCTTACCCAAGAGAAGAAAAAAAATTAAATTAGACACTTCTGTGTGTAACAATCAGCCTCTGGCTAGATGTTTGAATTCTGTCGATTTTTTGACCACAACATACTTACATTTTTAAAGTGTCTGTGTTTCCTCATCTGTTAACGGAACAAAATATTTAAAATCAACCTTTCTTGCACAACATCATGGCTTCCCTGAAATTTGAATGACCTTACTTTTGCTTATGCTTAGATTTTAAACCTAATGTATTCCCAAATTCTCCTTAGTACCTTAAATTTTCTCTTAGATCTCTCAAATACCTCAAGTATTAAATCACTTCCTCTTTCTGAAGAGTGGATCTCACTTGCTGTTTTTGGTGCACAGCATGCAATATAGACTCATCCTTCTTTATCACCCTCAGGGGTAACTTTCTCACTTTCTGAAGATAGACCCCCTTTTTCCTGGATGAGTTCTCATGGTTTTCTTGATCTGATCACTCACCTTGGGGAAACACATCCTTCAGTAGTTTTCTAAGATAGAATACAAGGGAAGCACATTTTTTTGAGACTTCTCATGTCTGAAAATAGTATTTTGTTAACCTCATATTTAATAGATAATTCATCTTGTCATACAACTAGAGGTTTGAACTATTTTTCACTATGAACTCTAAAGGTCCTCCATAAATAGGATCTAGAGAAGGATGTATTCCTGAAAGACAAACATTTACTGGCTATTTTTTAGTCTGTTGTTTTGTTTT
Source organism: Homo sapiens (assembly GCF_000001405.40). Classification (NCBI taxonomy): domain Eukaryota; kingdom Metazoa; phylum Chordata; class Mammalia; order Primates; family Hominidae; genus Homo; species Homo sapiens. Next base: position 70,995,943 of record NC_000013.11, read on the forward strand.
GTTTTGTTTTGTTTTGTTTTAACTAAATGCATTTCAAATCTATGCACAGCTTAGACAGTATGAATCTAAAACCTGACTCTTTGAGATGTAAGACAGAGACAAAGACAATCAGAGAAGCTAGACATTTATGAGGCATTATATAGAAACAAAGATAACAAAGAGAGGCTAAGACCAAAATCTGTGTATAAACTATACCCAAACAGCTGGCTGACTATCAAACTATGCAGCTATAGGGCAAAATTCTAAGGACCAGAGTAAAATCATATTAGAATAAAATAAGCAGAAAATGAGAAATTAGCAGATGTATCAACTTCTACACCATAGGGAAGAAAACAGAGTTTATAGTTTGAGTAGGTCAAATGCCAAACAGAACAAAAAAATGTGAATCCTCTGAAAAGTATGACAGAATCTAGAGTCACTGATCTTATCCATCATGTCTAGTTTTCAACCAATATTACATAGACATCCAAAGAAACAGAAAAGTGTGACCTGTACTTGGGATAAAAGGCAGTCTGCAGAAACTGACTTCAAGTGGATCCAGACATTGCAGGTAGCAAGACAAGACTTAAAGCAGCTTTTATAAGTATGTTCAAATTATTTTTTTAAAAAGACCCTAATGCAGGGACAAATAGAAGACTTTGATAGATAAAATGTTGCAAAAAGAAACACTAAGGCTGACTAGTACAATAACTGAAATAAAATAATGTTAGACAGTCATGACAGACATGGAAATAGCCAAATAAAGAATGAGGTTTTTGAAGATAAATCGAAATAAGTTATTCAATCCAGAAAACAGAGGAAAAGGAATTAAAACTGAAATGAGCCTGAAAGACATATAACATAATATCAGGTGATTTTTAAGCAAAATTTAAATCCCAGAATGATGGAAGACAGAAAGAGACAGCTAAAATACCTGAAAAAAGTAATGACTGAAAATTTCCCTAAAAAAATTTTTTAATCACTCCTTAGTATTACTGAAAGGTTAAGAAAAAAAAATCGTAATAGTTACTAGAGAAAATCCCTTTATATACAAAAATAGTTTGTTTACAGAAGAAAGCAATATGATTAATGGCTTTTTAAAATGACAGACAATTGTAACATAATAACATGCAATGTATTCTGAAAGGAAAAGTATAATTTGTCAACTAAAACTTTTGAATCCAGCAAATTTGTTTTCAAAAAATGAAAATGATGTGAAGACATGGACATATAAACAAAAAGCTGAAAGAACTAAGCATCAGGCTAAAGAAAATGATGCCAGATGGTGAGATGAATATGAATGAACAGCACAGGAAATGGTAAGCAATGGGCAAATATAAATAAATAAACACACACACACTCACACGCAGCACACACATATACTTTGCCTTTTCTTTCCTAAAATCATGTAACTGCAAAAGCAAAAATTATAGCACTATATAGTTGTGCAGGTAGATAAAATGCAAGTGAAAAAATAATAATGGAATGAAGGTATAAACGGAAATAGAGCATTGCAAGCACATTTTAATATTTACCAGAAATAATTAAATATAAAGTGTAAGGAGAATACACTAAATTAAAGAAACATAACCTAACACCCAAAACAAACACAAAAATATAATGTAAATGTATATCTCTAGGATATCAACAGGGAATTTCAGAAGAATATTAAAAAGTTTAATACTGTATTTGTACTTACCTTTTCTATATTTATATATATTTAGATACCATTGTGTCATTATTGTCTACAGTATTTAGTATAGCATCATTCCGTTTTTTGCCTGGGAGCAATAGATCTTACCATAGAACCAAAGTGTGTGTGTGTGCACAGGTATAATTAGTTTTGTGTATGTTTATTCTATCATGTTTACACAACAAAATCATCTAATGATGCATTTCTCAGAACTTATCCCTGTTGTTAAGCAGCTCATGACTATATAATATTTAAGTATACTGAATGTAAAAAGATGGAAAAAGATAACCTACAACCAGAAAGTATGAACATCTTGAGTAGTTAATATCAGAAAATAAAACTGAAATACAAGGAATATTATTAGAGACAGTAATCCAGGGTTATTAAATTATAATGAAATGTTGATGTATCTCAAAGTTGATGTCTTTGTGTGTGTGTGTGTGTCTGTGTGTGCATGTGTGATGGAGTTTCACTCTTTTTGCCCAGGCTGGAGTGCAACGGCTCGATCTCGGCTCACTGCAACCTCCGCTTCCTGGGTTCAAGCGATTCTCCTGCCTCAGCCTCCCGAGTAGCTGGGATTACAGGCACATGCCATCTCACCCAGCTAATTTTGTATTTTTAGTTGAGAAGGTGTTTTGCCATGTTGGCCAGGCTGGTCTTGAACTCCTAACCTCAGGTAATCCATCTGCCTCGGCCTCCCAAAGTGCTGGGATTACAGGTATGAGCCACTGCGCCCAGCTGTATCACAAAGTTTTAACAATTACATATGAATATATCTTATAACAGTTTTTGAATGCATGAAATAATAACTGACAGAACTAAAGGGAAATATTCATGACAGTTGGGAATTTTATCACCTTTGTTCCAGTAATTAATATAAAAACTAAACAAAAGATCAGCCAGATTACACAAAACACCTTTACCTGATCACCACATAAATTGTGTGATATATTTTATTTTTAAATGAGCTTTCACCAAGATAGATCATATGCTGTTTTATAAGTAAGCCTCTACATTTGAAAGAATAAAAATAATACAGCATATGTTCCTTGACAAATTCTAGTTTTGAAATAAAATTTTAAAAGCATTAAACATTTGGAAATTATGCAAGACATCTCTAAACAATTCAAGGGTCAAAGAATAAATGATGTGGAAAATTAGTGTCTTGAATGATAATAAATACCCAGAATATATCAAAATTTGTGATATGCAGTTAAAGCAATTCTTGGAATATTATTTATAGTTCTAAATGTTTTTATTAGTAAAAGAAAGTTTAAAACAAAAATGTGTGCTCCACCTTAGGAGTCTAGGAAAACAGGAGCCATTTAGCAATTTAAGACCAAAGTTAGTAAGTATAAGGAAAGAAAAAAATGAAGAATGGGGATCAATTATATAGAAAATGTATAAACAATAAATAAAATTAATAAAACCTTAAGATGTTGATTTGAAAATATTCATAAAAATTGACACACCTGTGGCTCTGTTTTCAAACAATGAGATACAGAGAGAAGAGAAAAAATGCTACCAATATCAAGAATGAAGAAGGGGATAATATTTCAATTTCTAGAAGCACTTGGAAACGACTGTATGATAGGATAATATATTGGATTATAGTGGAATGTTCCATGAGTGCAACCAGACAGATACAGAAGAGGACATATTAAATCATTTCATTTAATTGAAATATAGGAAAATGCAAATTAATCTTTAGTGGCTGAAAGCAGATCAGTCCTTAACTAAAGCTCAGATTGAGTTTGGGGCAGAATAATAAAAAGGAGCATGAGGGAAATTTGGGGGTGATGAGTATGTTTTGTGTCTTGATGCTGTATAGGTATGCATGGGTATATGAATTTGTCAAAATGGATCAAACTATACCTGAGAATGGATGTATTTTATTGTATGTAAATTTTTTATCAATAAAAGGTAGACACAGAAAATGTAATTTATAATTCATTATCTGTTAGGGGCTGAATTGTGTCACGCCAAAAACTCATATATTAATGTTCTAACTTCTGGTACTTCAGAATCTGATTATGTTTGAAGAGAGGGGCATTATAAAGGAAATTATGTTAAAACGTGGTCATTGTAGTGGGCCTTAATCTGATATGATTAATGTTCTTATAAGAAAAGGAAACTGGACGTAAGGAAGAAGGCAATGTAAAGACATAAGGAGAAAAAGGCCATCTACAAGCCAAGGACAGACACTCGGAACAGGTACTTCCCTCATGGCCCTCAGAAAAAATCATCACTCCTTGATACATTGATCTTAGACTATTAGCCTCCAGAACTTTAAAAAAAATGAATTTCTGTCATTTAAGCCATCCTACCTATGGTATTTTGTGATGGCAGGCCTAGCAAACAGATATACTACCAATACATGCGGTATAATAAATAATAATTTAAATAAATATTGCAGAAGCTATTGTTTTTTTAATGATTCTTTCGTATTGTTGCCTATGAAAAGCTGTGACATAAATGATGCATCTTAACTAGTTTTGGGATTGACCCTAAAGGGTTGCACACAATTTTCATTGTAGCCACAAAAACTCTTTCAGCCTAGTTCTGACCACCTGTTTAATGAGGGCAGCTATAAACTTCAGACTGTATAAACGTGCTGCATTAGTCTTCTTCAGTATATCCATATATTCATGTCTCCCATAAATCTTCTATACCAAGCTGTTCAAATTACCTTCAAAGGGAAAAATATGAGTTGTCCAACTTAAAGCAGTTCATAGATAATGACAACTCTTGTAAAATGAGTGTTTGAGAGTGTCTTGAAAGAATATAGATATATTTTGAGATGAAACCAAATGTAAAACAATTCAGTTGAAGAATACAAAATTTCTTATGACATTCTATTGTTACACTGAAAGTAAATTAGATTTTGGAAACAATGTTCACTGAACCTTTTAATTTTTTCTGCTTCCATGCAGCAAATTTCCTCAGATATTCTGAACTGATACTCAGGAAAACCTCTTTAAGATTGCTGGGGAGGAAGAGTAAGGATAAGGGAAAGCCAAGTGGAGGCCCCAATACCTCATAAAATCTTCAAACATAGGAAATCCATCTTTATCGATTTACCTACTATATTAGATTCACTATAAAATTACTTGTAAATGTAAGTTCAGGGTCAAAAGAATTGAAAAATACTGCTCTACTCTGTCCTCAAACAACTATTTACTTGAGTTTCTAATTTCTGAATGTCTAAATATTAGAAATAAGTTTATATCATTGCCAATTTTGTTTATGCTAATATATAAAGAATCAAACAGCTTGCTAGACATTTCTGATGTTCTTCTTTTTAGTTTTCACATCTTTGTGGTTAGGCTTATTGTAAGACAAGACTTCTGAAGATGATTTTGTAATTTCTTTTTCTATAGTGTTTTAACTCATTCAACTTTATGCCCTGTTGGCTGGCCTTCTTAATTTAAATACTTCAGTATGTTTTATAAATCTCCATTGATCTGAATTTAATGAATATACTTAGAACACTTTATAGGACTGAAGAAGTATCAGTTAATTTCAAACTGGCAGCCAAGAGAGAAATAATCATAAGCAAATATTAAAATAAACATATGTGAATAAAAAAATTCAGTGTTATGTTAGCATGCCATGGATATAAAAAAGCTAATTTTTGAGTGGTAGAATGTTCACATTCATTGTCTTACAATTCTTAAATTGTTTTGCTTTGCTCTCAGAACATTTGTATTAAGCAATCATGAAGCATATGTCTGAAGTTTCTATAAAAATCAACAAAATTAAATTGCCAAGAGCATCAGAAAAACAAAACTGCATATGCTTTTAATAATACCGAACCTACCTCTGAGGTTGAGTTTTTTAATGTCTTAAAATTTTCCCAAATACTTATGTATATACATTCATGAAAAAATAAGTTTATTCAAATTAAATAAAATTATAAATAGTTATTATTATACTGCTTTCCATCAGAGTAAAATAATGTTGATAAAGCTACTTAATAATCAATGTGGTTATTACATTTTTAAAAGAAAAAAAAGAACAGAAAATGAGGCCCAACAGACTAGGCAAAAATACAAGAAAGTGTTAAATACAGAAAAAAATTGCCTTAATGTTTGGCTTATAATCCAAGACTATGATTATAAAATCAAGCTAGTTCAAAGATCCAAATGGCTATGTCACATAAATGAGTTGCATTATGTCAAGCTCACAGGATTTAAGATGCAGTTCATTCTCCTTACCACACACAGACATGCTCTTAGTCTACCAACATATCCATTATACCCTCCTGCCTTTTAAGCAATACAACTTCAGGAGTGTACTTAGTATAAACATACCTCAAATAGAGAGAACCCATGCCCTGGTCTCACAACTCACAATACTGAAGGATAATTTGTAAATCTAAACTCTTGACATCGAATGTATTTTAGGTTAGGAGTAATATATTAGAGGTATACAGACAATCTACATGCTTGTGAAAACATATGGTTGTATGCCAACCTCACAGAGGTTCCAATTTGCTCTCTAGGTCACCCAAAAGAAATTCTCCCTATGGGATTTTGCCTTTAGAGAGACAAAGTGAATTGGTTCTGTTGAAATATTCATTAAATTAAAAGGCTTCATTTACTATTCTAAAAGCAATTAATCAGTTTTCCCCACTCTGTGTAGTAGAGTACTAGCCACCACTTTACAAAAGTGCATTAGCACTCTAGGGAGAATACAACACATTTCAAGAAAAATTAATAGGGTCTGTTAAGAAAGTTAGTCATAGACACTAAGAAAGTTAGAAACTTTATTGGAACATAGAAAACCTTGAAATAACCAATTTAGTAAAATTACTTGCAATGGCAATTGAAATTAAAATACAATAAAGAACATGGTTCTTATGGATAGTTTTGAAGGGTTTACCATTGTTAAACATAACATAAATTCAGGTGTAAGGAAAGGGAATTAAAAATATAAGTAATAGTAAATATTAAGTTTTATTAAGAAAGTCTGCCAAGTATTTATAGCAATATTAGCAAGTACTTTTGATCATGAGAAAAATGCCAATATCTGCAAAACCTCTATATGCTCACTATTCATGATTAATTATTCTAGTAACAATTCATCCATTCTAAAGTCATCAGCTGAACATAGCCCAGGTCAATAGTTACAGGATATTGTAGACTGAAGATATATTCCTCTGGCAGCGTTTCTGTGCAATATGTAAATCATTGTATGATCTGAACATAGTACATAATGAAAAATTAATGCATTTGCTAGTTTAAGCAGGAACTCTAATTAAACATAAAATTGTGCTTTAAAATTTTTGAATGAAGATAAGTCTATATAAATGTATAAATATATATTTATATCAATAAAAGTAGATTAAAAGAAAGCAGGGATGATGCAAAGCAATAAAAAACAGAGTTGTCCTAAAATATGAGACATCTAAAATAATTCCATCTAGAGTTATATTTTTAAAAGTATTACATTTACTTTTAAGAAGAATTATTAGGATGTTACAGACAAGACTACTACCACATGGAATAGTTTGACAAGTCATTCAACAGCCAGTGTGCTGTTCTATATTGTCTATATTCTTGGCTGGGAGCGGTGGCTCACTCCTGTAATCCCAGCACTTTGGGAGGCCGAGGCGGGTGGATCACAAGATCAGGCGTTCGAGACCAGCCTGGCCAACAACATAGTGAAACCCCATCTCCACTAAAAATACAAAAAATTAGCCAGGCATGGTGGTAGGTGCCTGTAATCCCAGCTACTTAGGAGGCTGAGGCAGTGAGCCGAGATCGCACCACTGTACTCCAGCCCAGGCATCAGTGCAAGACTGTGTCTCAAAAAAATTATAATAAAATAAAATAAAAATATATGAACAAAAAATATTATTCTCCCTTGAATCCTGCAAATATGTGTTGGAAATCTAATAAATTTATTTGAAATACTAAATAGTTATGTCAAATGGACAACCAGTAAATGTCATATATCTAGAAATTTTAAAGCCTTTGATAACGTTACTTCTAAAAGACTGGGTTTTTTTTTTTTTTTTGAAACAGCATAAAATTAGGGGGAAGAGAGTAAACCAAAGCAGGCATTTTCCAGATGAAATTAGTGTCAGTCTATTAAGAGCTTTCTAAGTCAAATAAAGGAGTGTGTGTGTGGGTAAGTCTTGGGAGGCAGTGAAACAGAATGGTGGAGCAGAGTCTCTCCATTTGGGGTCACTGCAGGGAAATCCAAGTTCTATCAACTGCGTGACCCTGGGCATTTTACTAAACTCTCAGGACTTCAGTTTTCACAGTGGTATAATAAGGTTAATAATAGCATCTCTCTTGTAACAATAAACTAAGATGTTGGTACGCCATAAACACAAACCTATGCTAGCATTTTACCTTTCATATTATTATTCAATTAAAAAAACGTAAGATATTAAAATAGAAATAGTTTCTAACACAAAGGTTTTGTTCTCAGCTCAATTATAATAATCAAAAGAGTCAAGCCAGCAGTCATTAAATGAATTATTAATTGCATACTGATCTATCTCTAATGAACTAGGTGGTCTCATATTTATCATCCTACTTGATCTTTACAACAACCTGTGACATGTGCTTTATGGTTGCCACCTTGCAGAAAACTGAGGCTCAAAGAGCTTAAGTGACTTGTCAAAAATCATATATTTACAAGTAGCAAATCTAAGAATAAAATAGGAATTTCTTTCCTCTGTGTCACAACAAATCTAGCCGTTCTCTAAGATAAGTGAATTTTGCCAGTACCTAAGAAATCCTTTGAAATATGTGGTGGGGACTCTATGAAAACACTACAAACTCTATATTTTTCTTGACTCCCAATTTTTGAACATTCACATTTCAGTTCCTGATACGTTATCTTCTTCCGTCATACTGAGACTAGGCTAAAGGGAATGAAGACCTTGCCCAAGTGCAAAATTTAAGGGAATGAGAAAAAAAAAGTAATTGAGATGAATATTATTTTAATACAATGTTTTTAAAATTCAAAATAAATACTAAAGGTTCATGATGAAAAACATATCAATATTTTAAATTAAGACAGTATCTCCTGGGGCATCTAAGAGCCTAAGGCAAAAGGAAATAATCAGTAATACTACATAAACTCTGCTCTTTCAACAGGTCTCAGCTTAAATATTTCTTACATTCAGAAACCTTACACTGGTTTAAATGATGCACTTCCAAGCTCCCATTATATCCTGTGCTTACCTCTCCAACTAGACTTATCCAAGCTACAGTAGTGTTTATCTATTGCTGCAATACACAAAACCTCAAATCTTAGTGCAATATTTGAAAACAGAGAACATTTATTCTGTAACAGTTTTCATGTGTCAGGAATTTGGAAATGGTTTAGTTGAGATTTGACTGAGAGACCCTCATCAAGTTTCAATTGAGAGATCAGCAAGGGCTGTAGTCATCTGAAAGCTTGACTGTGGCTGAGGATCTACTTCCAAGATGGCTTACTACCATAAGTATTTGCAGATGGCCTCCATCCCTTGCTACATGGTTCTCTTCATAGAGTTGTTTCAGGGCTCTCTTGACATGGCTGTTTAGCTTACCCAGCATGAGCAATCCAAGAAAGAGTGAAAGAACAAAGCTGCTGGGCCTTTTATTCCTACTCTCCAAAGTCTCACACCATCACTTGTACTTTATTTTATACTTTAAAAATGAGTAGTAAGTGTAGCCCACACTCAAGAGGAAGAGAATTAGGCTCCACCTTTTACAGAGAAGACCGTCAAAGAATTGTTGAAAATATTTTAAAAGTGACACAAAGAGTTACCTGTTAGTTGGCTATTTGTGTCTCAGGACTAAACTCTAGGAGATGAAATACCATAACTGAATTGTTTGCCATTTGGTCTTCTCAACCCTAGGACTGTCCCTGATACATAATATGTGCTCAATATGTATCATTTAAGTCATTAGTAGAATTCATGGGGACATTCCATCAGTAAAATGATTTTATAAAAGAGTCATAAAATGACAAATAAAGTTATAAGAGAAAGAATTTTGCTAAGGAAAATAAATGATATTTTCTGATTTGGGTCTATCAGATAAAAGATGATAAGGATATGACAAAAGTTTTGACATCATAAGTGAAAGAGTCAGGCATAAAAAATATAAAATTCTTCTAATTTTAAATATTGTGGAAAAAAGGGGGCTTAAAAGATAATTTGGGTTGGTGGAGGAACCAATTGAACTGCTATTATTTTGCAATAAATTTTAACACAAACTTAAAAAAATCTGACTTTACTGACGTCTTAGTTCAGGTTGCTGTAATAAAATACTGCAGACTAGGTAGTTTATAGATAATAGAAATGTATTTCTCACATTTCTGGAGGCTGTGAAGTCCAAGATCAAGGTACCAGTAGATTCAGGATTAGGTGAAGGATCACTCTGTGATTCATAGGTGGTGCCTATAGCTGCATCCTCATCAAATGGCAGAAAGAGCAGCTTCCTTGCATGTCTTTTATAAGGTCACTAATCCTATTCAGGAGGGCTTTATCCTAAAGTTTGGCTCATAACTCAGACAATCACACAGGAGCTTTTTCACTTTGTTAAGACTTAATGACCTCCTAAAGGCTGTATCTCTTAATGCCACCACACTGGGGATTAAGTTTTAACATATGAATGGGAGGATGCATATTCAGACTATAGCAACTGGAATTAAAATTCTTCAAAGGTATGACTGAAAATCAAATATTTATATACATATATGTCTGTGTGTGTATATATATAACGCCTGGAACTGAAGTCATGCTTTTTCTATTATATCGTATTATCAGAAATACAACTGAAAGATAGAGATCCAAGCAGCTTTTGCACATTTATGAAAATACACTTTGAGAGATGCGAAATTAAATGCATGTTCTGCTATGCTATGTTTGTGTCTCCCCAAGTTTCATATCTCGAAACTTAATTTCCATTGTGGCAGCATTAAGAGGTCAGACCTCTTGGAGATGATTAGTGCATGAGGGGTGTGCCCTTATGAATGGGATTAGTGCCCTTATAAAAAAGCACCAAGGGATTTTGCGTATCTCTTTAATCATGTAAGGACAAAGTGAGAAGCTGCCATCTTTGAAGCAGAGAGCAAGTCCTCACCAGATGCTGGATCTGCTGACACATTGATCTTGGACCTTCTAGCCTGCAGAACTGTGAGCAATGAATTTCTGTTGTTCATAAACTACCTAGTCTAAAGTATTTTGTTATAGAAGAATAAATGGGCTTTGATTTTTAAAATATTTTTTATTTTATAGATAATTGATAATTATCGATAATTTTTTAAATATCGAATATTTTTAAAATATTTTTTATTTCATAGATAATGGATAATTTTGAATATTCAGAGTTTGCGAACATTGTAGACTTTTTTTGGAGCAGCTTTTATGCTTGGCTGTGCTATCTATATTCCATAATGTATATTTACTCAATGTTGATTATTTGAAATTTTAGAAATTATGATGAAAAACACTATGAATTCACACATATTTTATATCTGAAAACATTACCATGCAAATAATTTGAATTTTGGATAACACTGATGGAATAATTCAATCTGTGTTCATAAGTAAGTGATGTTAATAGATGAACATTTCTCAGTCTGTGGATCAACTAGTGCTGCTGGAGGTTGACGGAGGACTTTTCAAAGGGTCCTTGAAGTCAAAAATAATTTTATAATAATTCTACAATGTTATTTGCCTTTTCACTGTGTTGGTATTTGCACAGATGGTGCCAAAACTGTGATGGCTTAAACTGCTGGCTTCTTAGCGTCAATTGAGAAGTGGCATCAAACTAATGGTTACTGTACAAACACGCAGGAAAAGAAATCCAGTTTCATCGAAGAATATCTTGATTAAGTAGGAAATGTTATTGGTCTTATTAAATCTTCTTGAATCACAACTCTTTAAATATTCTGAGTGCCTAAATAACAAACAGACTTACAGCACTTTTGCTCTATAACAAAGTGAAAAATCTCCTGTGTGATTGTCTGAGTTATGAACCAAACTTTTGTCATGGAAACTTGTCATGGAATATCATTTTTACTTGAAAGAGCAACTAAGAAGAAACCTATGGCTATTCAAGCTTGGGCGTTTGTTAGGCAGTATCTTGATAATGAACAAAGAAAAACCTGATAATCAATGAAAAAAAATAATAATTGTTGCTGATGATAAATTCAAATTTTCCAATGGAAATAGGGATTTGGGGAATTTGTACCTTACATTTTGAATTTAGCAGATTCTGAGCAGTGATGAGATTGTTGCTATTGCTGAATGTTACTTTTTCTATATTGTATCATGAAATATTTTAACACTTAGAAGATTTGCATATATCTATGCACCAATATTTTCCAAAACATCAAAACATAGTTTACAAATCATGCTTGGGTGAAAAGAAAATGCATTCAAAGTGCAAAATATACTCTAGATTTCAATATAGGTGCGAAAAGTTCATTAATATGCTTTCAAATTCTACATTGCAACCAAGTTTTGGAAATCGTCATTTGTTGAGTTTGGGGTTGTATCATGTAATAATATCCACAATTTTTCTGAAAAGGCAATTAAAAGAAGTCTATCTTGTCCAAATATATATCTGTAAGGCTGAATTTTCTTCATAAACTTCAATTAAAAAGTAAAAAAAATACAGCTGGGTGCAGTGGCTCATGCGTGTAATCCCAACACTTTAAGAGGTTGAGGTGGGAGGATCATTTGAGTCCAGGAGTTTAAGACCAGCCTGGGCAACATAAGAAGAACCTATCTCTACAAAAAATAAAAAATTACACTGGTGTGGCAGGCACCTGAACTCCCAGCTACTGGGGAGGCTGAGGTGGGAGAATCGCTTGAGTCCAGGAGCTCGAGGTTGATTGAGCTGATTGTGCCAATGCACTCCATCCTGGGTGGCAGAGAAAGACCCTATCTCTAAGTAAATCCCAATAGATTGAATGCAGAAAGGCATACTGTAAGAATACAGTCAATTTCTATTAAGAAAGACTTTTAAAATACTTGCTAAAGAATGCTATTTTTCTCACTATTTTTTTGTAAAATGTTATTTTTCATTAAAGTATGTTACATATGCTAACATCTTGTGGGTCTATTTTTATTTATCATTTAGTGGGTTTATTTTTATTTCAAAATAAATATATTTTTAAATTTCAGTTTTAACTTGTTTATGGTAAGTATTAATAGATACCTAGCATATAAACAAGAGCTCTTCAGGGTCTCCAACAAATTTTAAGTGTGTAAAGGGCTCCTAAGAACAAAAGTTTAAGAATTGCAGCCATAGATTATTTAAAACAAGGACCAATTAATTTACAAAAATAATAGGAGAAAGGAGAAAAACATTCTGCAAAAGAGTTTACTTAATTAACTTTATAATGATACTGTTATCTAGAGCAAACTGGTTTAAGCCACAAATGCAAGCAATCCTAAGAAGCTATGTAGACTCAAGGTCAATGTACATGAAGTAACTCAAGAATAAACACTTGGGGCTTGATGGAATTTATTCACTGACCCTAAAATGTCAACTAAACATAGATACTAATGTTGCATCTCCAGTCTCCCATGCTATGTCAGAATCTATTTGGGGTGCTCTAAATCCACACAGAATATTCATGTACTATTTTAGGGAGACCTAGTAAATTAATATAAAGAAAAGAGTAATTTTATATTTCAGAATGAAGCTTGTCTTATAATGATTCACATTGGTATCAATGATAGGGTACTTCTGATTGAATCTTACTATAACAGTTGTGAGCTTGATTCCTCAAAAACTCAAATTGCTTCCCTTAAGCCCTGGAGCACTGACTTAATAAAAATGTGGTCACCGTATAGGTAGAAATGTATTGCTTTACCAGTGATTCTTTATGTGAACACATAGCACAAGAAAAGCTAATTTTTGTATTGGGGGTTAATTAATTAACAGAGAAAAAACGAAATGAAATTTACTATTAGAAGTTAAATACTGCAACGATCAGGTTTACCAATGTGTTTGAGAGAATGTTATTGATACTTTTACTCAAGCTAAATTCTGAACCTTTAGATAGTTTCTAATTTATGTCAGAGTGCAGTTAAAAGCAAATTTTATAAATTATATACTTGTAAGAAATATACGACAAGGTGAATAAATTTGGAAACAAATTTATATAATATAATTTTAATACTTTTCTATCTCTCCCTCTCCTTCTCCATTATACAAAAACTACCTAGCTGAGTGACAGAAAAGTATCTCTCAACTGAAAATTTACCAATATTATGGAATTTCTGAAAAATATGTTAATTAATACTAAAATATGAAATTAAATAAATTAGCTGAGCACTTGTACAAGTAATATTGTTTCTATTAGGAAAAAATAGTCGAGGGACATGTATCTTTAATGTATTTATGTTGAGTACTCAACTCAGAAATCATCTGATTTATCCTGATATATCATAAATTATAATATCAACTTTTTATTATACTTTGAAAGTATGGAGTCTGATGCATTTGACATTTTAATTCCCTGTGGATATTTTATAACATTAGGCTTTTGATTCCATTTTCTTTTTAATTATCTCAAGAATTTATTCATGTATTATATATAATTTGATATAGGTCCATTCCCAGCTACTATTTTTATTTTTTTACTTTCTACAAATAGCTCACTCTCAATATGTATATATTTAATGTATTTTGTACACGGTTATATTTGCCTTGAAAGGAAAAACAACAAATAGTGGTCTGCTATAGGAACATTCTGAAGTTTTATTTTAAAGTATATCACTCAATCAGTTGTTAGTCACAAAATGTATAACAACTTGATTCTAGAATATTTACACATAGAAATTCTCTGACTGTGTTTTTATAAAAATATATGATCAGTAATTAAATCACCAGTATAAATTCTACTGTGTATTTGCCATTAGATTTTCTAATAATTCATAAGGAAAATACTTACATGTTACTTTGCATCTAGTGACTCTGCTTCTCCTTCTCTTTCTGGTGATGTATCAGTCTACTTGCAAACGTAGCCCTCTCTCCTCCATCCTTTCATTTGGTGAACACATACAATTTTCAGCAAATTTTATTATTTTTCCTTTAAAATGAAGGTTGTGTTCATATGTTTTCCTTTTCTAACTTACTGTCATCAATCCAAGATGATACTATTTTATTCTCTGATCGCTGGTTTATTTCTGAGGGGTCACGTGTATTTTAATTTTTTGTGTGCATAAAAGTGTATAAAGGGCACTTTTATGTTTAGATTCTATTAGAAGCTGTTTGTGATCTTATAAATAATACATTCTGAGCATCTGGACTTGGCATTTGTAGGTCACCCTAATCCAAAACGTTCTGAGGTGTTGCATTTTACATACTCCCACACAAACCCATTTAGCCAGGCTTTCCACTCTCACCTCCAAATACCATACTTGTTCTGTCCTCATGTTTTTCCTCTTATATAATTTTCATCCAATGAGAGTTTTTTTCTTCTTCCATTATTCATCTCAAGCTTCAAATTCTTTATAAAGGTTTTCATGATTATTTCTGTGTAAAGTCATCATTTCTTTCTAAATTCTTCATACCCTTTTGCGTTTGAATGATCTATACAGATGTCCTATATACTAAGCATATTTGAATTCCTAAATCTCAGTGGCAAAATTTTATTTTTGAATCCTACTTTTGTTATATAGATATTGCTAATGTTTCTAATTGTTCACACCTGCCTCTATCCAAGCCATTTACCAGTGCCCTTCTGGGTCTGGAAGTATGACTGCTTTGACCAATGGAGCAGTGGCCAAGAGTGACTTGAGCAGATTTGACTCCTGCTACCTCCAAAAGAACGTGCCTATCTGTCTTGTTGAAACAATGAAAGAGCGAGCCATGTAACTGTCCTCCACCTGGCCTACATTCAGATGTGTCAGATTCCGACTAGTAAGCCGTGTGTCCTCAGACATGTTGAGTAAACCCTGCCAAGGCCAGAATGATAGTCCAGCTTAAATTATGAATCTGCAGTCTTGTAAGCCAAATACATGCTTTTTGTTTTAAGAGACTGAGTGTTGGCATAGTTTGTTACAACAAAGTTATTATGCCATTAGAAAACTGATACGCTATGCCTGGAACCCAAACACAGCAGCCTCACAGAACTTTGTACATATTTAAAATTTAATGAGGGTTGAATAAATGTATTCCAGATTATGTGTAAGGATGACTACAACACACTCCCAAACTAGTTTGAAAGAGTAAGCAAAGGGAACTAGATTCTTTGAGCATCTGTAATATGCCAAGTAAGGTGATGCAAAATTTAATGTTTGATCCCATCTACTCCTTGCTACAATACGTGAGGTACTTGTCAATAGCCCAGTGTGCAGATAAAGAAAGTGAGGCTTGCAAAGATAATGTAATTCACCTAGGTGGTACATAGAGTCTAAAGAGAACTTAAATGATAACATAACAATCTGATAGAAAAATTGGTGTTTATTTATGTCGGTATTATGACAGAAGCTCTTGCAAGGACCAAGATATTAAATGAATAAATACACGACAATTTTTAAAAATAATTTTCAGTTGCTTTATACTGGCATTTTTATGACAATCATCTTTATTTGGAATGAAATCCAATTATTTTCACTTATAAGTAAGATTTATGCTTTTATCTTTTTTATTTTGAATCTCACATCTTTATATGATTTTTTTCATTGTTCAACAATTTTTAACCAAATGTTTACTGTGTGTCCAGCAATTTACTAGGTACGAGATATACGGTTGTGGATAAAACAGGGGCCACACAGGCTTCTGTGAACCAACACTGAGTTTGTATGAGCATCTCTTCAGTGATGTTGATAGTTTAAAATCAACCATATGGAAGTATTTACATCACAGTAATTGGCAAATACTACAAAATTTCTTCTTTCTTTCTTCCATTCTTTTTTTTCCTCAGAGGTCGTTGTCAAATATTTACCAACATATATTTAGTAACCTTTGGCCCATATACGAAAGGAAATCTATACTCCTATTGTATTCAAAAGCCCCATACAATAAATTTGAAGAAATAAATTAATCCAGTTAAATGTAAAAGACTTCAAATGAGAAGAAAGCAAGCTAAAATCAATATAATATTTATAAAAATACACAATACATAAGAACACACCCATAATGCAAGGAAACAAACACAGATTAAGAGATATGAAAATATATAGTAGGCAAATCAGATATCCAGACAAATATCAAACTTCATATACATCAAGGCATAAAGTGATATTAGACATGAAGACAGTTACTTCATATTGATAAAAGAAGTCACATGTATATAAAATAATTCTGAAATTGTGTGCACCTAATAACAAGCCTTATAAAATATAAAGCAAAACCAAAATTCAGGAAAATTATAACCAAAAAAAGTTAAAGCCATAATTGTGGTATGTGATTTTAATATAAATTTCCCATGTATCTATATACAGGTAAGACTAAAACTTTTCACTGAAAATTTTAAAAATGAACAAACATGTTAATGGAATATGAGAACCCAGTTCAAAACAATTAGAGAATGTACCTTTATTCCAGTTCATATGACGTGTTTATTTTAAAAATCATGTAGTATACTAGCTCAAGAAAAGAGAAATTTTACAAATAAATAGCATTAATAGTGAAAATGGCTCATAATTAGAGACATATATTTTTATAAAGAATGGTATGAAGCACTTCCCATGAGTAAATTGTTAAACTTACAAAAAATACACAAATGAGAAAACTGTAACTTACTAAAAATAACACAATTGTAAATGTTGAGTCAGTAATTTACTATCTTACATATAAACTTAATAGGCACAATGATTACACACTCTCCCAAACTTTCAAGATGTTGATAATACTAAATTTAAGTAATTTTTTTTTTTGAGATGGAGTTTCGCTCTTGCTGCCCAGGCTGGAGTGCAATGGCATAATCTCAGCTCACTGCAACCTCCATCTCCGGGCTTCAAGAGATTCTCCTGTCTCAGCCTCCAGAGTAGCTGAGATTACAGGGGCGTGCCACCATGCCTGGCTAATTTTTGTATTTTTAGTAGAGACGGAGTTTCACCATATTGGCCAGGCTGGTCTCGAACTCATGACCTCAGGTGATCCACCCACCTCGGCCTTCCAAATTACTGAGATTACAGGTGTAAGCCACCACACCCAGCCATAACTTTTTTCTTATAACAGGCATGTGAATTGCTCCTCAATTTGTTTTAGAAAACTAGTATACTCTTGATACAAAATCAGTGAATGACACTATGTAAAAAATAAATTTAAGGCATGAATTTATAAACATAGATACAAAAATCCTATGTAAGTATTAGCAAATAGAATCCAGTATGTATTTTATATGAAATAATATGGCACAACTAATTTTGGTTTATCCATAAATACAACATAGTATATAATTCAAAAATCTATTAACAAAATTTATTACATTAACAATTTAAATATATATAATCATATCCAGAATATAAAGAAAATATATTTGAAATCATTTAAAACATATTTAATAGCTCATTAAAGCTATGAGTAAAAAGAGTCTTCTTAACCTGGCAGAAGAAATTAACCAACAACAAATTCAGACTATATAGGTAACAGTAAAAGAAGAAAAATTTATTAAATCATGTACTGTAAGTCCCAGAAAACTCAGGAAAACAAAGGAAATATATAAAATGTAAAATAATCGGAAAGAATGAAAGAAAACTATAGTAGTTCATAAATAATGGTAGTTTTTATCAAAAATATCAAAGAAAACAGAAAATTAGGAAACTAATGAGAATTCAACACAATTGGTGAATATAACAATATGCAAAAATACATTTAATTACTTTGCACCAAAAATAAATCTTAAAATATATTTTTCTAAATAAAATGAATATTTAGTCATAGCAGCAAATAATACATGGTACTCAGAAAAATAATCCAAAGAATATACATAAGTCCTTTATGAAGAATATTATTTAAAAAATTATCAAAAGTCATGAAAGACCTTAATGAATTGAGAAAGATTCTATGATGAAATAAAGATGTATCATAGAAGATATCAATTCATTACAATTGAGCTGAAATTCCTGAGAAGTTGATTCTATAATATATACAGAAGATCTATAGACTAAACACGGCCCATATAATTTTGAAGAATAATAAGAAAGGACATAAAAAGGGAGGATGTTAGGAAATCATGCTACCAGATATGAAGTCTTTTTATGAAACTACATAATAGTAGTGTTACAGGAGGTTCTTGGATCTCATACAAGAAAAAATTCAGGGGAAGTTCACAGTGCAAAGTGAAAGCAAGTTTATTAACAAAGTAAAGGAATAAAGGAATGGCTACGCCATAGAGCAGCCCTGAGGGCTGCTGGTTGCCGATTTTAAGGGGTGGGTTATTCATGAGTCCCCTTTTTATGCAATATAGGGTAACTTACTGACGTTGCCATGGCATTTGTAAACTGTCATGGGGCGGGGGGTGGGGTGGGAAGAGTGTAGCAGTGAGGACGACGAGAGGTCACTCTCGTCGCCATTTTGTTTTTGGTGGTTTTTGTCTGGCTTCTTTACCGCAACCTGTTTTATCAGCAAAGTCTTTATAACCTGTATTTTGTGCTGACCTCCTATCTCATCCTGTGACTTAGAATGCCTTAACAACTGTCTGGAATGCAGCCCGGTAGGTTTCAGCCTCATTTTACCCAGTTCCTGTTCGAGATGCAGTTGCTCTGGTTTACACGCCTCTGACAGAAATGTTGATGAAAAGAGTCAAACTCTGTAAAATACTTAAAGAGATTTATTCTAAGCAAAATAGGAGTGACCATGGCTGGTGACACAGCCCTCAGGAGGTCCTGAGAACATGTGCCCAAGGTAGTTGGGGTACAGCTTGGTTTTATATATTTTAGGGAGGCATCAGACATCAGTCAAATACATTTAAGAAATACATTGGTTTGGTTCAGAAGGTCAGGACAACTAAAAGCAGGACTTCCAGGCTATAGGTAAATTTAAAGATTTTCTGGTTGACAATTTGCTGAGTTTATCTGAAGACCTGGGATCAATGGAAAGGAATGTTCAGGTTAAGGTAAAGGATTGTGGAGACCAAGTTTTATTGTGCGGAGGAATCTCTCAGATAGCAGACTTCAGAGAGAGAGCAGGTTGTAAAATACTTCTTATCAGTCCTAAAAGGGTGCCTGGCTCTTAGCTGATTATCTCCTGGATCTGGGAAGGAAGGAAAACAAAGGGGAAAGAGGATTCCCTATAGAATGTGAGTTTTTCCCAAAAGAGACTCTGCAGGGCAATTTCAAGGTACGGCAAGGAAATATATTTTGGTGTAAAACATTTTGATTTTCTACCTTGTTATGCCAGAATCAAATTGGAGAGTTAGTCACCATATATAGGGTCAAATAAAACCCATCTGATGAAAATTTATGGTTTGTAGGGCATGATTCCCTTACACCCCTTACATAGGAATTAGGGTGAGATAAAAAATCAGAGCTTAGTCCTCAGTAGCAATAGCTTATATTATTGAGGGCTTAGTAAGTCCAATGTACTGTTTTAAGAAATTGTATGCATTAATGGATTTGTATTGAAAGTAACCCAAAGATATGAAAAAATCAGTGGAAAAGTGATGCCCAAGGTTATGCATTAAATAGCAGAACCAGGAATAAATATAGTCAGTCTAGCTCTCACTCCTAACTACTGTGCTGCACTTTCTTGTGTCTCTATTAATTCAGTGTGATTTTGATGTAGAAATTGACAAATTGATTGGTAGAATGTAATAGGGACCCCAGAACCACACCTCCTTATTCATGGTAGGAAGAAATGGTTAACAGCTGGACTGAGATGCATTGTTAAACTAATGAGGGAGATGGTTCCATAAAAGAAAGAAGGAAGATGATCTGATCCAATTTTCTCAGAAACATTCTAATGCAACATTATTAATATTAGCACATGGAAAAGGAAATGCTACTTTCTGTTCTATGTTGCCTTATGAACAGCCAATTTGGAATCCGTGACTTTGGAGGCCATAGATCCCTAGGAACTACAACCATTAATATATTAACTGAAGGTGTTTCATACCTAATACAGCTGTCATGTTTGTCAGTGATGTGACTGCAACTCTTCTGAGAGATCTCATATAATGATCAGGGCCAGAGTACCTCCTGTGTATCAGTAGCTTATGTTACCTGGGCTTCCCAATTGTTGATGCCCTTAACATTATTTGTAAAGCTTGATGCAGGGTCAACTATATTTCTGTGTGAGTCTGTGAATCTATGTCTGTGTGAGTCTGATTTGAATCTTTGATCTGTTTGTCCACATGGAAACTTGGTAAATAAAAGACTTAGTATTACAGATCAGTGAGAAAATAATGAGCTAGTCAATAATAGTTATCTACGTGAACTAAATAAATTTGGAATCTTGTTTCAACCCATGGGCAAAAATAAATTCATATGAATTAGAAGACCTAAGTGTGATGTTAATCTTTAAAACTTTTGTGCAAAGAACAGGAGAATATCTTGATGCCCTCAGGATAAGCAGAAATTCTTAAACATGATATAAGTACAAACCATAAAAAATATGATAAATCTGACTGTTTTGAAATTAAAAACCTGTTAGTAATAAAATCAGACAAAAATTGAGTAAAAAAAATTCAGGGACAAATATTTAAAATGCATAAAAATTACTTTATCAATTTATGAAGAATTTATGAAGATATTGGTAATCTAAATAATATAAACATTCTAATGGAAAAAGTGAGTAAAGCACATGAATTAGCAATGAAAAGGAGATGAATTAGCAATGAAAAGGAGATGATATTCAAAATAGACAACTACATAAACAAACAAGCATTGCAAAGTGATAAGCCTTACAGCAATTAGGAAAATACAAATTGAAACCACAAAAAGTAGTATTTTAAATTAATCAGATTGGTAAAATTTTAAGTCTGACAATACTATGTTGATAAATATGTAAATAGATAGAAAATTGTATGCATTGTTGGTTTGTAGGTGTAAGCTGGTTTTAAAAACAACCTTGGGGAGTAATGTAGAAATAGCTAGTTATAAGGTTTGGCTCTTTGTCCTCACTCAAATCTCATCTCAAATTGTCATCTCCACATGTTGAGGGAGAGACCTGGTGGGAGGTGATTGGATTGTGAAGGTGGTTCTCCCATACTGTTCTCCTGATAGTGAGGGAGTTCTCATGAGATCCGATGGTTTAAAAGTAGCAGTTTCTCCTGCTCACTCTCTCTCTCCTGCCACCTGGTGAAGAAGGTGCATGCTTCTCTGCCTTTTACCATAATTGTAAGTTTCCTGAGGCCTCCCCAGCCATGCAGAGCTGTGAGTCAACTAAACCTCTTTCCTTTGCAAAAATTACCCAGTTTGTGGTAGTATCTTTATAGCAGTGTGAGAATGGACTAATACAGCTAGTAAAGTTTAAAATGTATGTACTCTAGGACTCAGTAATTACTAGTTATAAATACTAGAGAAACCCAGTATACAAGGAGACTTATATATAAGATTGTACCCTGGATCACGGCATTAAATATCAAATTGTGGTAACATCCTAAATGTCTATATACAAGAAAATTGATTGATAAACTGTAGTGTGCTTATACAATGAAATGTAATATGGCATATAAAAATAAATGGCTATATACTGACTTTGTTTTTTTTGAGAAGGAGTCTCACTCTGTCACCCAGTCTGGAGTGCAATGGTGTGATCTCCGCTTACTGCAACATCCACCTCCCAGGTTCAAGCTATTCTGCCTCAGCCTCCTGAGTAGCTGGGATTACAGATGCATGCCACCAAGCCCAGATAATTTTTGTATTTTTAGTAGAGATGGGGTTTCACCATGTTGGTCAGGCTGGTCTCAAACTCCTGACCTCATGAACTGCCCGACTCGGCCTCCCAAAGTGCTGGAATTACAGGCGTGACTGCGGCCGGCTGACTATATATTGATTTAATCTCATATTTTTTATAAATTAAAGTTTCAGAATGATATACATTATATGTTACTATTATAGAAAGATAATATATTTTGGGGCATATAAGTGTTTTGTGAAAGTATACAATCTCCATGGAATTTATAAGTGATAATTTTGTAATCAAGGTTATGTCTGAACAGTAGAAGGTTAATAGAATTGAGTGGAGTTTCACAGAAAACTCTCACTTCCCTGATATTTTCTGTTTAATTTGCATATGTGGTATTTGGGGGATTTACTTTCTTTTCTTCTATACTTCCTATATGGCTTAAATGTTTAATAATCAGAATAAAAATACAAGAAAAAGACAGTATTAAACATTTAGTTGACACTGAAGCTGCAAAATGATGGGGAGAGAGGCTCTGTTGAAGTACTCTGAAATTTTTGTTTGAATGACCAAGAGGTTGTGGGAGTAGTGACCTGGGCACACAAACATTTGTGCCTTCGGGAAAGAATAAAAAATGAATGAGATAAATAATCTTCCCAATATAATAAGGACATAACCACAGAGCTTATCTTTCTCTCTAAGATCTGTATTATTTTTAAAGCTTTTTTTGGAGAATTTGAAAACTCAATCTTGTCTTTTAGAGGAAACTCATCACTTAGAATTTGAAACTTGGCAGCTTCCTTGCCAGAAAACACTAGTGGCAGCTCTGTGACTCATTTAGGGTGCATAAGTTCCATAGATTATGTAAAACTGATCTGGAATGACATCCTTCTATGCAGTCAGTACTAAAGATGAGTGCAAAATCCAAATTATGAAACACTTGAGAAAATAAACACCTATTACTGAGAGTCAACACACAACATAGTCATGAAAAAAATCCTGATTAGGTGTTTCAAAAATTATTTCATAGTAATAATGGTAACAGTATCTCAGAAAATTATCCAGACATCAGAGAAACCAAGAAAATTAAAATGTATAGAAAAGATGGTTAAAAAAAATAAAGCAAGAGAATACTACATTTAGCTTTGATCCCTGATGTATTCCAAAGATCTAGAACAATGCCTGGCACAAAGTTGGATTTTAATAAATAGCAAAGAAATGAACAGAGGAATGAATGATTCAGCTCATAAGTATTTATTTCAAAAGAGATGTCTGTGCTGGAAATAGAAATGTGGAATTCATTGGACCATAATGATATTTAAAATGCTATAACATTTATAGCCTGAGTAAAGAACCAAAAACATGCAAAGAAGACTGAAATAAGGAGTTGGAAAGAAAACCAAAACTATGCTATTATTATGGATTTCTCTTTCCAGGCAAGAATGACAAATTACATGTGTTGGCTCTTCTATATACTTAGAATATTGTTCTATTGGATTTGAATTGCAAATATCAATATGAACCTATTTGTTTCTTTTAAAATAGATGTGTATCTTTAATTGTGTCTGCTGCTAAAAGGTCTTAAAAGCAATGACTACCTAGTAGTAACAAACACAATCAACATCCAGATTATTGACCCTAAATATTAAGGAACCAGAACTCCTTGACAAGTGGTTGATTTCAGGACTGAGGGAGAAAATATATAAGACCTGTAAATATTTTTTCTCTAAAAAGCATGAAAAATTTCCAAATACCAGCTGATTATGCAAAAACAAACGAACAACAACAAAAAAACCCCACAGAATTCAATTTAAAGGGGCTCCTTTTAGCCAAAGAGGGACAATTTGAGCATCAAAAGCAGTGATGAATACAATTGGTTGAAACGCATTCACTAATAAAACCCAGAAGTTTATAATTATTCTTAAAAGTAGATAGAAAAAGCAAAAAAAACAAATACAATTCATTGACATCATTGAACGTAACTTGGGAACTAACACCTGTGTTAAGACATGGCAAATAAAGGAAAAGAATTAAATATTCGAGTGATTTTTCTGAATTGTGTTTCAGAGTAACCTAATAGCTCTAATTGATGAAGAAAAGATCCCTTCTTTAGAAAAGGGGTGCTGAAACTAGAAGTCACAATTTTGCAACTTTGAATGAATGATTAATTCAGCCAATAAGCATCAACAGTTATAATCAACAAATGCAAGGTTTATACATAATTTTACAATAAAAATGCCACTGCTAATTTTATGTGTCAACTTGGCTAGGCCTTTTTCTGGGTGCACTCTAAGGGTGTTTTTGGATGTGATTAACATTTTACTGAATAAAGAAAATTGTCCTCCCTAATATGAGTGGACCTAATCAGTTGAAAGCCTGAATAGAATAAAAAGGCTGACCCTCCTTTGAAAAATAGGAATGCCTCTTTCCTGAGTGCCCTCCAGCTAGAACATGCTTTTTTTCTTCCTTTGCACTTGAACTGAATCATTGAGTCCTCCTGGGTTGTGAGCCTGCCAGCATTTATCCCATCAGCTCTCCTGGTTCTCGGGTCTTCAGACTCAGACTGCAGGCATACCATTTGCCTCTTTTGGGACCTCAGCTTGCTGACTATAGATCTTGGGCCTTGTCAACCTTCATAATCATGTGAACCAATTCCTTACTTTTTTCTTTCTCCTTTTCTTTCAAGATATATATTTTTTCTCTCTTCATATATAATGTGTGTGTGTGTGTGTGTGTGTGTGTAGTTCTCTAAGAAACTCTAATACAAAGGGTATCAGTTTCTTGCTACAAGAACCCTCCGATTAATCATACTTGGAAGTAGTATAATCGGATATTGTGTGCTTTCTGCAACAAACCAACATGAATCACATAATAATACTTCAGAGTGTTCTTTCTTTAAAAAAAATGAAAAAGTCAAATATGAATCAACACCAAACCTCTAGAATAAGGCTTTTCATTTTATGAAATATGGAAGACAAGAGAGGGTAAATAAACCACAAAATAGCATACTTACAAATCCAGAATGTGGGACATTCCACAGGATAACTAACCCATTTTCTACTCCAAGATAATAACCTGAAAAAGGAAAGATGAGAGATACTTCTCTAGAGTAAAAAGAAAATGTCCAGTAGAGACCAGAGAGGAGCGGGAAGGCCACTCTGAGTGAAGTAGATTCAGCAAAGATAAGAGTTGCATGTAACAGGACACCCAGAGAATGCCTTCAAATTTATACCAGCTTGGTTCCCTCCAGCTTTAAAATCACAAACTCAATGTCACCTAATACATTGTCTATGGAAAACAGTTTTTAAAACACTTCAGTAAGGTTGGACAATAAATTGAAGAAAGAGCTTGAAAGGCTCACAGTGCTAGGTCAAGATGTTTAGATTTAAAGAATGTTACACATATGAGCCATTTTATTTAATTTTTTCACTTGAGAACATCAATTTGTAACTGGGGCAATATTGCCCCTGAGAAGGAGAAAGTGGTTATTGCAGGAGAAAAAAAAAATTCCAGATATTGACGTGGCTTAGTTGTCTGGTGTAAATACGTGGGGTTCGTCATCTTGTGCTAAGAAAATTTACGACGTGGACACACATGAGGAGTTTAGGAGCCGAGGTTTAAAAGGCAAGTGAAAGAGAAAGCGGAACAGCTCTCTCTCTAGTGAGAGAGAGGGGCTTCCAAAAGGAAAGACCAGCTGGTGCTGGATGCACCCGATTTTATAGGCAGGCTTGTGGAGGCGGTGTCTGATTTATGTAGGGCCCAGAGATTGGTTCCATCAGGTGTGAAATTTACCTAGGGTACAGGGAAGGCTGGCCACCCCACCCTAATCTCATTATGCAAATAAGCTTTCCACTTAACTGGTGCCACCTTGTCTGCTCACTGCTGTACCAGTGGCTGGCAAAGAGAGAAGGGAAGATGAAGCTGCCATTTTGAACATGATTGTCACAACTGCCAGCATCTATACATGAAGCTCAATTTTACAGGCTTCTCTTTGTCAGAAAATGATTTTGGTCCTGCTTTTCGTTAAAAAGAAAACCTTTACTGAGGACTCCAGTACCCTCCCTATCTGCCTAAGTAATTGCTTCTTAACACCTATATCAATATTATAATGGTTTGTGGCCCTCCAAATGGCTTTAGTGCATACATGGTTATACAGCATTACTGGTGCATTAAAATTCATAAAGGTGGGCCGGGCGTGGTGGCTCATGTAATCCCAGCACTTTGGGAGGCCGAGGCAGGCGGATCACGAGGTCAGGAGATCCACACCATCCTGGCTAACACGGTGAAACCCCATCTCTACTAAAAAGACAAAAAATTAGCCGGGCGTGGTGGCGGGCAACTGTAGTCCCAGGTACTCGGGAGGCTGAGGCAGGAGAATGGTGTGAACCCAGGAGGCAGAGCTTGCAGTGAACTGAGATCATGCCACTGCACTCCAGCCTGGGCAACAGAGCAAGACTCTGTCTCAAAAAAAAAAAAAAAAAAAATTCATAAAGGTGAGGATGATTAAAAAAAAGAATTAAGTCTCCTTAGGATACAATAATCAAAACAAGTTTTAAAAACCTAATCTAGAAAAAGTATAAACTTAAATTGACAATTCACATATCTATAAAACATTTTATAAAATTTTAAACTATTAATAAAAGCAGAAGTCTTTATAAAAATTTAGGTCTCTGTCTAAAAACAATTTTCTTTGGACACATATTATCACACACTATGAATCAGAAAATTAAGACATACTGTAAGTTATAAATAACAATATTTACCTGAGAACAATAAAAATCCATCCCCTACTTTATCTCCTCTAATCTATTTATCCTTGTGCCCCTAAACTTCATGCCTTAAGCAAATGACTATCAACTCTCGATTTGAAATGTGAAATGAGACAGCCTTCAGTTCTAACTTATATGTTCCTGCTATCGACTAAATGTTTGTTTCCACACCAAATTTATATGTTGAAAACCTAATCTCCAATGTCATGGCATTTGGAGTTGAGGCCTTTGAGAAGTAAGTAAAGTTGATTTCAATCATGAGAGTGGGATTATCGTGATGAAATTAATGCCCTTAAAATACAGACAGATACACGAAAGCTCTCTTTCTTCACTATGTGAGGATACAGAAAGAAGTCTGCTGTCTAAACCTAGGAAGAGGGCCCTGCCCAGATACTGAATATGCCAGCACCTTGATCGCGGACTCTCCAGCTTCCAGAACTGTGAGAAAAAAAAACCTTTGTTGGTTAAGCCACCTGGTCTATGATATTTTGTTATGGAAGCCTAAACAAATATATGACATTTCCTAATCCAGCGAAAACTGTCATCATTACATTTATTCAGCTGTGCATACCTTGAAGTCAGAAATTGAGTTTAGAGTTCAAATTTGTAGAAAAGTATGACTTTTTTTGGTAAAGCATGAAAGGGTGTTATAGGCTATGTGGTTTTCTTCAGAGCTGCTGAGAGAGAGCAAAAATAAAACTGTGATGAAGACATTCTATAGGCTTTTTTGGTATGCTGTCAAAGAGAAGTGCAAAGGAGAAAGAGATACTAAGTTGGTTAACTGAAAGAATGATAAGTAAATTTAAGCATTTATTCCGGAGTATTCAACATCTATTCACAGTAGCCAAACCTTGACAAAGGACTTTTTTAGCAGAAAGTTTACATATTTAATTAATTGTTTAATGTAAATAATGCTTTCAGAAAAGACTACTGGGGCATGAAAACATTGACTAAGCAAGTCTTAATGTTTATATTTGAGTAGACAGAAAAAGAGAGTGTAAAATTTCCTGCCGATGACAGGACAATAGGAGAACACAAAAAGTTATAAGAACACAGAGTCAAAAAACACTCTTTCTACCTGGAAATAATAGGAAGATAAATGAGGTGATGGTTAAAATCCAAGCTCAGCCTCAAAATATGAATGGTATAGTTACTGAAAAATAATAAATAATGAGAATGGAAGGCTACAAAGAAGAAACTACAACAATAATGGCACATTTGAAGAAGGTTCTTTTTACCAAGCAATAGGCTTGCTGCCTGACATGCATAAAAGGCCAATACTATGGTACCAGCTGTTTTTTTTTCTTTTTGCAGCTTGCATTATGTTTTATCATTCTAAGTAGATAAAAACTCCAACTGATCACATACAATAATAGAATTAAGGTAACTCAATTTCTATTTGTTCTTCTTTGCTATAATTATCTATTTCTAATCTAGTGGGGTTTTTTATCGATTTGGGGGTAGAAATGTAATTTTGTTACATTGATATAATGTGTAATGGTGAAGTCTGGAATTTTAGTGTAACCATCATTTGAATAGTGTACACTATACACATTAGGTGATTAATATCTCACCCCTCATTCTCCTCCCACCCTTTCACCTTTCTGAATCTTCAGTGTTTATTATTACATTCTGTATGCCCATGTGTACATGGACTTGTGAGAACATGCAGTATTGGACTTTCTGCTTCTGAATTATTTCACTTAAGACAATGACCTCCAGTTTCATCCCTGTTGCTGCCATATATACATCTATATATAGAGAGAGAGATATATACACACATATATATACACACACACATATATACACACACATATATACACATATATAGAGAGATATATGTATATATCTCTCTATATATAGACAGTATATGCATATATACACACATATATATATATAGAGAGAGAGAGCATTTTCTTTATCTAAATATCTGTTGATGGACACTTAGGTTGATTACATGACTTTCCTATTGTGAGTGGTGCTGTGATAAACATACAAGTGCAGGTATCTTTTTGATATGACTATTTCTTTTCCTTTGGGTAGATATGAGTATTAATATTCCTAGATTGAAGGGTAGTTCTATTTCTAGTTCTCTAAGAAATCTTGATACTATTTATCAATAGAGGTTGTACTAATTTATGTTCTCAACAACAAAGTATAAGGGTTCCCTTTATTCCACATCCTCACCCTGTTGGTTTTAGACTTTTTAATAATACCCATTCTGACTGGTATAAGATGCGATCTCATTGTGGTTTCATGTTTTTTTGCCGTTTTTAAGTCTTCTTTTGAAAAATGCCTGTTCATATATTTGTCCACTTTGTATTTGGGCTGTTTTTTGATTGTTGAATTGTTTGAGTTCCTTATAGATTATGAATATTAGGCCTTTGTTAGATATGTAGTTTGCAAATATTTTCTCCAGATATGCAGGTTGTCTTTTCACACTGTTGGCTATTTCCTGTTTTTTTTTTTCTTTCTTTTTTTTTTGAGATGGAGTCTCGCTCTGTCGCTCAGGCTGGAGTGCAGTGGCGCAATCTCAGTTCACTGCAAGCTCCGCCTCCTGGGTTCATGCCATTCTGCTGCCTCAGCTTCCTGAGTAGCTGGGACTACAGGAACCCGCCACCATGCTTGGCTAATTTTTTGTCTTTTTAGTAGAGACGGGGTTTCACCGTGTTAGCCAGGATGGTCTCGATCCCCTGACCTTGTGATCTGCCCACCTCAGCCTCCCAAAGTGCTGGGATAACAGGCATGAGCCACCGCACCCAGCCACTGTTGGCTATTTCTTTAGCTGTGGCACCAGCTTTTGAGAAAAGAAGTTTTCTTGCAAGATTGACCAGCAAGAAGATAGGAAATAACATTCAAATCTGTCTCCTTAAGCTGAGGTTTGGTGGCAGGTTTCCAAGGCAGAGAGCAGGTAATATTCAAATCTGTCTCCTCAAGCTGAGGTTTGGTGGCAGGATTCCAAGGCAGAGAATAACTTTGAGGGAGACAGGAAAATGCAACGATGTGTGATCTGACTGGGTCATGCAAAGAAGCAATGCCAGGTTCTTGGCTTTTAAGTTCATATTGCAAAAAACAGAGCACCCCTTGATTCTTAATTTAGTCTCAGATCCTCCATCAGAGTATGCCGAGTCTGTCCCACAGACTCTGGCTTAGCGACAGAAGAAAGAAGTACACAGACACAGGTATTTTGCCTGAGAGCGTGGCTAGGGGACTGCACGACTTAGCATCGCGACGAGAGTGCAGCCCCGACAAGCTGGAACCATTTGTATTTATTTAGTACAGATTAAATGACAAAGGCCTAGAGTAAACAGAGTTTGTGGGTAATTAACACTGTCGACCCCCCGAGTAGAGAGCAGTCCTGCAGGTGAATGATCAAAGGTTAGTTTCCATAGACAAATTAAACAAATACATCTAGATAAATTCCTTTACAGTCCCTTGCTATCTACCCTTTGCCCTTAGTCTCAGGGTAAGATAATTTAGCTGCCTTCAGCTTTTATTCTCTCCCAAAGCTTTGCAAAACCTCCTGGCCTTCCATGAAGGTTTGCATCTTTCCCTTTAACTTTTCTTATAACTTTTCCCACCACCCTAAGTGATCTCCTACATCTCCCCCTTTCCTGTTTTTTGCATCAGGTTTTGTTGATTGAAGAGTACAGATGTGTGCAGCAACAGGTTTGTCTGCTGTAGTGGTTACTGCTACTATTCCAGCTTTGCAGCCTGGAATTAGTAAATAACATGAGACAAACATGAGTATAAACAATAATATTCTTTTCCAATCAAGGAGTGACAAGTAGTGTTACTTGACACCTTAATCCAATGTGTGCCATTAATGAGGGACCCTACTGGGCATAAGTCAATCCCTCCTAGCCAAGCAGTTGCATTGTTAGAGGCTGAGGAGGGGGTGTGAGAGGTCTGCCCAAGTAACAGGGTGGAAGAAAGGCGGATCTAGAAGATGGGCCTAATAGACAGTAGCAGGTGTGGGTTGTAGGCAGAGTGAGAGAATAAGAAAGGTTAATACCCTATGAGAGTTGCAATGTACAACAGAGAGCATAGCAAGAAACAAATTATCTGAAGTGAATGGTGTCTGTGTCTGGAAAAGGGTTCACTCAGTCTTTTGAGCAGTCTTCTTTAGCGTAGTATCTGGGGCCTGTGTCTTCCAAGGAAGCCACATTATCCAGGGCTATGGGTCCCGCAGGGTCATTTCCTTTATTTCTGTTACCAGGTTGGGTCCTAGCCATGCCATGGTATGGTTTGATGCATAGTGCTGGAATCCAAAGAGGATGTGAGGGGGTGTGAACAAAAGCATATCCTCTTCCCCATGTTAGCAAATCATTTGGACCACACCATAGATTACTATTTACATATTTCCATAAAACTGAAGGTTGTATATCTTGAATATTTTTGAAAAGTGCTTCTCTATAGCTGATTGAAATTTTTCATCTAGATTTAAAAATTAAGGGTAAATATTGCTTGTACCAATAGTGTTGCAGGGTCCCTACTCATATTCCCCCTTTTTTGTTTTTTGAGCATATTTTTAAGGGTGGAGTGGACATGTTCTACTATGGCCTGTCCTTGGGGGGGTTATAAGGGATGCCTGTGGAATGTTGGATGTTCCACGTGTCGCAAAATTGTTAAAATTGTGAGCTAATATAAGCTGGACCATTATCAGTTTTAATTTTTATGGGCCGCCCCATAAACGCAAAAGTTAAGAGAAGACTTTTAATGACATATTGGGAAGACTCTCCAGGAAGAACATGAGTGCTAATTAAGTGGGAATTGGTATCAATGGATCCACATACATATCTTAGTTTTCCAAATTCAAGGACATGTGTAACATCTCTTTGCTATAACTTATTAGGTTCTAGTCCTCTAAGGTTAACACCTGTTGAAGGAGGGGACGTGCCTGTGAGCTGGCAATCTCAGCACTGTAAAATAATTTGTTTAGGTAGTTTTTGGCTGAGTAGAAAATGTTTAGATAAGTTTCTGCAATTTTGGAGAAATTGATGTGATTGGGTGGCTTGGTCAGGGAGGGACGTCATAACCTGCAGCTCTGCTTGATCATTGCCATAAATCAGTGGGCCAGGTAGTGAGCTGTGAGCTCAAATATGTGTGATAAAAATAGGATGTGTACATTGATCCAACAATTGCTGAAGTTGAAGAAAAAGTGCACACAGTGTGTGATCGAGAGTGGACTTAATGAGAACTGTCTCAAGGTTCTGCAATAAATAAACAGAGTAAGCAGTCACTAACAATATTGATGGGCTGAGTGGAAAAGATTTCCAGGGCCAATATTAAGGATCCAACCTCAGCAATCTGAGTGCTAGTAAATCCAGATTGAGTGAGGGAGTTATGCAGTTACCACCAGATAGTTGCCTTTCCATTTTTACCAGAGTGATCAGTGAAAAGCATTAAAGTGTTAGGTATCGGGGAGTGAACTACTTTTGTAGGCAAAACTACAAGAGTATGAAATAAGAACTGAAGTAGTTTGTCAGTAGAAAGGGCATGTTCTATATGGCCTGCATAATAAGAGAGTGCTATCTGCAGGTCTACAGATAAGAGCAAGATGGCTTCAAATTGCTTTTTACTCAAGGGAATTCTTATGACATCAGGGCCATAACCTAGCAATATATTGCATTGTCTGTGGCCTGTATAGATGACTCTACTAACTAGCTGGATATAGGGAGATAGTGTTTTAGTCCCGGTATGTGAGCAAAAAACCCATTCTAGAAAGTGCAGCCCTGGGGCCATCTGTCCTATTAATCCTGTTGGGTAATGTTTAGTATGAAATACAAAAAATTGGACTGACTATTGTGCATCTATGTAATCTAGTTATGTCGGAGAAATAGCTTGCTCTATTTCCTAAATTTCCCTTTCTGCTGCAGGAGTTAAATACCTGGGAGAGTCTAGGGCTGTATTGCCCTTTACAATAGAAAACAGGTTTTGTAACTTATCAGTAGTTATGCCCAAGGTGGGGCAAAGCCAATTAATATTGCCCAGTAATTTTTGATAATCATTTAAGGTGTGTAAGTTGCTAGTATTTAATCTTTTGAGGTCCTACTGACTGGGAAGTTGGTATGTATCCAAGATATTTCCAAGGAGAGTACATTTTTACTTTTTCAGGTGCTATGATTAAACCTCTTAACAGTGTATTCCTTTGGACAGAGGCATATAAATTTAAAAGTACTGGCTCCGTTAGAGCTGCTAGTAAAATATCACCATAAAATGAATAATTTTGCAATTATGAAATTCTTTTCTACTGGGGAGCAAAGCCTGAATGTGATACTGACACATGGTAGGACTGTTCAGCATTCCTTGAGGAAGTACTTTCTGATGAAATTGGTGAGCTGGACTTTCATTATTGATAGCTGTATTGTAAACACAAATTTTTCTCTGTCCTACTCTGCAAGGGGAATAGTATAAAAGCAGCCCTTTAAATCAATAATGACTATAGGCCAACCTCAAAGAATCACTGCAGGGGAAGGGAGCCCCTGTTGAATGGGCCCCATAGCTTGCAAATTAGCATTGATAGTGTGAGAGTCATGCAAAAGTTTCCATTTACCAGACTTTTTGGGAATGACAAAAATGGGCGAATTCCAAGGGCTGTTTGATGGCTCTATATGGCCAGCTTTTAATTGCTCAACTAATTCATGGGCTTGTTGTAACTTCTCTCCCTTTAAAGGCCAATGTTTTACTCAAATAGAATTTTGAGAGAGCCACATCAGGGGTAGGGGAGGAACAATAGGGGCCATTATTTAAAAGCGTTTGTTATTCATATAATTCATCAAATTCTGCCCTCCAGAGGAGGTATTGACTGGCCTTTAAAGTTGTTTTTGCTAGCACTGACCAGTCCCATGGGGTCATATGGAAGTTGTCTGCCATGGCCTTAATTAATCTTTTCATAAATGGGCTAGCGTCTCCATTTTCTCTAATGCTTTTCCTTATCTTTTTATAAGTGTTGAAAGTAATGGGTTCATATTACTGATTCATACCTGTAATTCATATTACAGTGTTCATACCTGATTGCCTTGTTGATCTTGCATCACCAGGCAGGCTAAGAGCTCCCCTTCTAATGCTGCTTGCCTAAGACAGGGTCCCATAGCTGTAGTGTATCCCTTGTCTTTCTTCCAATTTATTGGAGGAGGAGGCTCAGGGGAAATCTCCATTTTCTCTTTTGTGTCTTTACCCAGTAATGGCAGTGCTGAGGGAGAAGGAGGAGGTGGTAAGGTAGGTGATGGTTCCTCCTCCCTTCCCTTCTTAGGCTCTTCTGTGTAGAGCAGGACCAAAGCAGCCCTAACTAAGTCCCAGAACATTAGAGATGTTACTGGTACCTGTTGCTCTTGTGCATGATGTTGTTTAAGATTTATTCACACTTGTTCCCAGAGCTCCAGGTCTAACATCCCTTCTTCCATGAACCATGGAGTATGGGAAACAACAGTTGCATTAGGTCCCTTAATTGAGCCTGCAAAACCATGATTCCACTAGCTTTAAGCAGCTGTTTCAATACTTCAATATACTGTTTCTGTTGATCTGATAACTGTTGTCCGCTAGCCTGAAAATTCCCTCAAACTTGGAAATCCCGAGCGGGCACCAATGACTTACTGACTATGCATTCTCTTCACCTTCATTTTCGAGGGTGCTGTCACAATCCGTTGCAGCATTCCTCACACGGGGAACCAGCTGCCAAGTCTGTCCCACAGACTCTGGCTGAGCGACAGCTGAAAGAAGTGTGCAGACACAGGTATTTTGTCTGAGAGCATGGCTAGGGGACTGCACAGCTTAGCACCACAGATGAGAGTGCAGCCTCGATAAGCTGGAGCCATTTTTATTTATTTAGTACAGATTAAATGACAAAGGCCTGGAGTAAACACAATTTGTGGGTAATTAACATTGTCGACCCCCCGAGTAGAGAGCAGTCCTGCATGGGAATGATCAAAGGTTGGTTTCCATAGATGAAAGTAAACAAGTTTATCTAGATAAGTTCCTTTACCTTCCTTTGTTATCTACCCTTTGCCCTTAGTCTCAGGGTAAGATCATTTAGCTGCCTTCAGCTTTTATTCTCTCCTGAAGCTTCGCAAAACCTCCTGGCCTTCCATGAAGGTTTGTGTCTTTCCCTATAACTTTTCTTATAACTTTTCCCACCACCCTGACTGATCTCCTACACAAGTACTTAGTTTTCACATGTGATTGATTATCTTTGTTCCAGCTGGCTCCAGGGTCATGAATCAAGTATACTTGGTTCATCTTGGCCTGCCCAGATTGTGTGACTTGCAACCTGGTGGTCCTTTGTAACTGAAAAGCAATTCATCATTTTGTTACTCATAGAGTTGAATCAGAGCAAACTGGTTCAGTTATAGTTTGGCAGTAGCAGAGATTGTAAACTGGAAAAGGAGGCTGAAGCACTAGGGTGATAGTTATTTTAGATGCCTCAATTATTATATTGAATAATCTGAAATTTACTCTCTTGACAATGGGAAATTGCTTTCTTATTTGTGTGGCAGAGACATGACTGTCTTTCCTTGCCCATTCCCCCTCTTCTTTGTTTAGCAACTGGATCCCAAAATTTGGCTACCCAGGATAAAAACTACATTTCCTGGCTTACATTGCAGTTGGGTGCCATTATATGACCATGTTACTCCTGATGAGAAAAAGGCAGAAGTTTGTGCAAATTTCAGGAAGTGTTCTCAAAGAAAGTATCCATGCCCTTTTTTGCCCTTCCCTCATTCTTGTAGGGTGTAATATGGGCCAGAAACCTGGGTCTGGACTATTCATCTTGAACAAGCAGACAAAAGCCAAATTGTAGGGATGACAAAACAGTGACCTGGAAGTGGTCTAAATCCCAGATAAATTTATGGAATAGAAATCTGAACTGCTTTAGCCACTATTGTATTGGGTTTTGTGTCATTTGAAGTTGAAACTAATCCATAGGTTGTCTTTTTGTTTGTTTGTTAAACCAAGGAATAACATAGTCTGGATTTGCGTGTGTGTAGACCAGACTGGATAAAATGAAAAGCTTTTGAAAAAGCATACATTATAATTGTCAATATACAATAAAAGATATAATAAGGCTCTAAAAACAGACTGATGACAATAAGAAATATGCTTGAAGGATGGGATGAATAGGTATATGATTTTGATTCTAGGTGATTGGAAAAATACTGAAGTCTCTAAGTTTGGGGAAAAGATAAGTTTGTTTGTCTGTGTGTGTATAACCTGATTAGGGTGGCTATACAATGACTACAGTTTTATTTATTTTAATTAATCTTCTTTCTTGAAGGTAAAAGAAAACAGCTGGATAATAGAAACTAGGAAAACAGAAACTAGGAAAACTTAGATTCCAGCCAAGATGGCTGACTAGAAGTCCCTAGTGTGTACCACTCTGACTGGAGAGCAGGAAGAATAGCGAGTAAACACTAGCTCTTCAATTACTACATCCAGGTAGACACATTGAGATTCATCAAGGAAGCAACATGACCTATAGATAATGGAGAAGAGGGAGAGAGGGCAACTTCCCACTGAGGAGTGGTGTGGAGCCAGAGGAGGCCCCTCACCATGGGGAAACAGTCAATGAATGTCCCTGGGACCCATACTTCTGCCACAAACTTTTGCAACCCTGGGCTCAGGAGATCACTCGTAACTTCCCACCAATCTGGGCCTCCAGACTGACACAGAGAGCTATATAGAGTCTGGGCAGAGCCACCACTGAGGAACACACAAAGTCTCAAGAACCTTGGATCCCCATCCCCAGGCAATGGGGCACCAGTGGCTGCAACTCCCTGACAACAGGGGAGGTCAGGCTCCCTCTCACACCCTTAGGATAGGGACCAAATCCACAGGGATGAGCAACAGATTGATTGCAGGCCTGCCTTCAGTGCACCTAGCTATATAAGACCCACTGGCCTGAGAACTGAGCATGGCCCCCCCAGCATCACCTGAACTCTCAGACTTGAGAGCAGCTCTGCCCTTCCCTGGAATGGAGCTCCCAGAGGTAGCAGACAGGCTACCATTTTTGTTCCTCCACAGCCCTTGCCCCTGTTGCCCTCAGGCTTGTGAGAAAGCACAGTGATTAGGTAATAGTGTGGATCCCAGTACAGTGCAGCTGCCTTATGGGAAAGTGGCCAGGCTGTTTTCCAGGCAGGTCCCCATCCCTGCTACTTCTCACTGGGCAGGACCTACTGACCTGGGGCCCCAATCACCCCCCACTTGGGCTCTCTGGCTAGTAGCAGCTCTGCATTTTCCTGGAATAGAGCTCCCAGAAGTAGCAAGCAGGCCTGCCAACTTTACAGCTACACAGCCCCCACTCCTACTGCCCTCAGGCTTGGGAGGGAGTACAGTCATCAGGACTAATGTGGGCCCCCAGCACAGTACAGCTTCTATACAGAAAAGCACCCATGTGAGTCCCCTTTGGGGAAAGAACATGGGACCTGGTTGCTACACTGTCACCTGTAGCACACTGCAGCCACTATGTGGAGAGGAAACCCAGTCTTCCTTCCCTGTGAGCAGCTACGTCCTACTCTTCACCAGGCAGGGCCCCTGGTTAAGAATCACAGAGCAGCCACCCTACCCCCAGCTGAGCATTCCCCTTGTAGTGGCTCTGTGTTTTCCTATAGTGGAGCTCCTAGAGGCAACTGACAGCTCTTCTGCTGCCACCACTGCAGCGGTTCTGCCTTTGCTGCCCTTAGACTGGAGAAGATACAAAAAGTCTGAGGGATTTACTCTTGCTTCCAGCACACTACAGTATCATGCAGAGAGGAGCTCAGTCCCTCCTCCCTGTGAACCCTTTCCCTCCTGTTCTTCACCAAGCAGGTCCCCTGGCACAGTCCAGCAATGCAACCACCCCATCCCTTGGCTGAACATTGCCATTAGCTGTGTCCATTAACTGTTTCTCTGAGGGAGAGTTTCCAGAAGCAACCAAAAGCCCCTCTGCCATTGCCACTGCAGTGATACTTCCCTTGCCACTCTGGTACAGGGGAAGGAACAAAGGCCTTGAGGGCTTTACCCACACCTCCAGCAAGCCATAGACATCCTAATAAGAAGAGGCCAGTCCGTCTCCCCCACCAGCTCCCCTGCTCACCACCAGGCAGAGGCCCCTGGCTTGGGCCCACAACGCCAGTGCCCCACTTTGGGCCAATTGCAAATATTGGTAGTGGCTCTGCTTTTCTCCAAGGTGAAGCCCCAAGAGACAAGGGACAGGCCCTCTGCCACAGAACTTCCAAGGTCCCTTCTACGGCTTCTAAGCTGGGGAGGGAACATAAAGCCTGAGCTAACCCCACGGGTGTGGTGGGCAGCCCAGGAGTGTCAAGCCGAGATCTGCAGCCAGGACTGGAGTAGGAGAGGAGCTCACACCTTTGCAGCACTCACAGGGAGCGTGCTGCAATTCTAACAAAATGCAGAAGAACCATTTAGCTGAGCAAGAGCCTACCTACAGGCCATTATGGTTAAGCACCATCTACTGGATTATAGCTCAAACTTCAAAACTAAAAATACTTTGTGGCCGGGCGTGGTGTCTCACGCCTGTAATCCCAGCACTTTGGGAGTCTGAGGAGGGCAGATCACGAGGTCAGAAGATCGAGACCATCCTGGCTAACATGGTGAAACCCTGTCTCTACTGAAAAATACGAAAAATTAGCCAGCGTGGTGGCGGGTGCCTGTAGTCCCAGCTACTTGGGAGGCTGAGGCAGGAGAATGGCAGGAACCTGGGAGGCAGAGCTTGCAGTGAGCCGAGATCGTGCCACTGCACTCCAGCCTGGGTGACAGAGCAAGACTCTGTCTCAAAACAAGTATACCAATCTGAGGAAAGAGTCTTAGAGCTCAAAGACTGGTTTTCTGAACTAATTCAGTCAGATAAAAATAAAGAAAAAAGGATTTATGAAAAGAAAAACCCTCCAAGAAATATGGGATTACATAAAGAGACCAAATCTATGACTCACTGTCATCTCTTGAAGGCAGGGGAAGAAAACAAGCAACTTGGAAAACATATTTGCAGATATCATCTATGAAAATTTCTCCAGCCTCGCTAGGGTGACCAACATTCAAATTCAGGAGATGTAAAGAGCCCCTGCAAGATATTATATAAGATGACCATTCCCAAGATACATAATCATCAGATTCTCCAAAGTCAACGTGAAAGAAAAAATATTAAAGGCAGCTAGAGGGAAGAGGTAGTTCATTTACAAAGGGAAACCCATCAGGATAACTGCAGACCTTTCAGCATAAACACTACAGGCCAGTAGAGATTGGGAGCCTATATTCAGCATTCTAAAAGAAAAGAAACTTCACCCATGAATTTCATATCCATTCAAACTAAGTATTATAAGTGAATGACAAACAAGATCCTTTTCAGACAAACAAATTCCAAGGGAATTTATTTCCACCAGACCTGCCTTATAAGAGGTATTTAAGGGAGCAATAAATATGGAAGTGAAAGACCAATACCGGTCCCCACAAAAACACACTTAAGTCATATAGGCCATGATGCTATAAAGCAACCACACAATGAAGTCTGTATAGTCACCACCTAAAAACACGATGACAGGAGCAAATCTGCATATAACAATATTAATGTAAACAGGCAGAATTCCCCAATTAAAAGGCACAGAGTGACAAGTTGGATAAAGAACTACGAGCCAACTGTACGCTGTATTCAAGACACTCAGCTCATGTACAATGACATCCATAGGTTCAAAGTAAAGGGATGGAGAAAAATCTACCAAGCAAACAGAAAATATGCAAAAAGCAGGCATTACTATCCTACTTTTGGACAAAACAGACTTTAAATAAACAATGATTAAAAGAGACAAGGAAAGGTATTACCTAATGATAAAGGATTCAATTCCACAAGAAGATCTAATTGTCATCCTAAATATGTATACCCAACACAAGAACACCCAGGTTCATAAAGCAGGTTCTTAGAAACCTATGAAGAGGCTTTGAAAACCACACACACACACACACACACACACACACACACACACACATAAATATAGTGAGAGACAACACCCCACTGACAATATTAGACAGATCATAAAGGTAGAAAACTAGCAAAGATATTTGGTACCTGAACTCAACTAGACTAAACAGACCTAACTGATATCTACAGAACTTTCCACCCAACACAACATAATATACATTCTTCTAATTTGCACAAGGCAGATATTCTAAAATCGATCACATATTTGGACATAAAACAATCTTCAGCAAATTCAAAACAACTGAAATCATACCAAACATACTCTTGGACCACGGCAAAATAAAAATAGAAATCCATACTAAGAAAATCACTCAAAACTATAAAATTACATGGAAATTAAACAACATTCTCCTGAATGACTTTTGGGTAAACAATGAAATTAAGGCAAAAATCAAAAAATTATTTTGAACTAATGAGAACAAAGACACAACTTACCAGAATCTCAGGAACACTAAAGCAGAGTTAAGAGAGGAGTTTATAGCACTAAACACTCATATTGAAAAGTTACAAAAATCTCAAATTAACAGCCTATCAACACATCTAGAGGAACTAGAGAAACAAGAGCTAACTAACCCCAAAGGTAGCAGAAGACAAGAATAACAAAAAGCAGAGCTAAGCTAAAGAAAACTGAGACACAAAAAGCCATACAAAAGATAAATGAATTCAGGAGTTAATTATTTGAAAGAATAAATAAGATAGATAGCTCACCAGCTTAAATAGTAAAGAAAAAAAAGAGAGAAGATTCAAATATATATAATCAAAAATGACAAAGGGACATTACCAACAACCCCACAGAAATACAAAAAACCCAGAGAGACAACACCTTTCAAAACTAGAAAACCTACAAGAAATTGATAAATTCCTGGAAACATACAACCCCTAAGATTGAACCTGGAAGAAACTGAATCCTTGAGTAGACCAATAATGAGTTCTGAAACTGAATTCATAATAAAAAGCCTACCAACCAGAAAAAGCCCATGAA
Organism: Homo sapiens; assembly: GCF_000001405.40. NCBI lineage: Eukaryota > Metazoa > Chordata > Mammalia > Primates > Hominidae > Homo > Homo sapiens. Next base: position 71,037,095 of record NC_000013.11, read on the forward strand.
CAGATACGGACTCACAGTCAAATTCTACCAGATGTATAGGAAAGAGCTGACACCATTTCTAATGAAACTATTGCAAAAAATTGAGGAGCAGAGACCGCTCCCCAACTTATTTGTGAAGCCAGCATCATCTTGATACCAAAACATAGCAGAGACACAACGAATAAAGAAAACTTCAGACCAAAAACCTTGATGAATATACATGCAAAAGTACTCCACAAAATACTAACAAACTGAGTCCAGCAGCAATTCAAAAAGCTGATCTACCACAATCAAGTAGGCTTTATCTCTTACAGGCAAGATTGGTTCAACATATACAAATTAATAAATGTGATCCATTTCATAAACAGAACTGAAACAAAAGCCACATGATTGTTTCAATACATGCATAAAATGATTTTGATAAAATTCAATATCCTTTCATATTAAAACCTTTAACAAACTAGACTTTGAAGAAACATACCTCAAAATAATGAGAGCAATCTGTGACAAACCCACAAGTAACATCATACTGCATAGGAAAAAGCTGGAAGCATTCCCTTTGAGAACTGAAAGAAGTCAAGGATGCCTTCTTTCTTTTAAGTTCTTTGAGAATTGCTACACTGCTTTCCACAATGGCTGAGCTAATTTACATTCCTACCAGTAGTGTATAAGCATTCCCGTTTTTCCACAGCCTCACCAGCATCTGTTATTTTTGGACTTCTTAATGTAGTCATTCTGCTTGGGGTGAGGTGGCATCTCATTGTAGTTTTAATTTGCATTTTTCTAATGGTTAGTGATAGCAATCCTATTATTGGATATATATTCAAAGGAATATAAATCATTCTACTATAAAGACACATGCAGGCATACATTCATTCTAGCAACATTCACAATAGTAAAAACATGGAATCAACCTAAATGTCCAGCAATGGTAGAGTGAAAAAAGAAAAGATGGTACATATATACTATAGAATACTATGTAGCCATAAAAAAGAATGAGATCATGTCCTATGCAGTGGCATGAATGGAGCTGGAGGCCATTATCCTAAACAACCTAACACAGGAACAGAAAACCAAATACCACATGTTCTCACTTGTAAGTGGGAGCTAAACGTTGAGAACGCATAAACACAACGAAGGACCTACTTGAAGGTACAGGGTGAGAGGACGGAGAGGATCAAAAAACTACCTATTAGGTACTATGTTTATTACCTGGGTGATGAAATAATCTGTACACAAAATCCCTATGACATTCAATTTACCAGTATAACAAACTTGCACATGTACAACTGAACGTATAATAAAAGTTAAAAAAATAAAAATAAATTAAAAATGCATTGAATACAGCAGGATCAGCCATGTAACTTGGAAAGGTTTACCCAAGTATACATTGGGTAGGTAGAATAGCAGATATTTGTGCTCTTATGTTCTATGGTTCACTAAGTAATTTGTAGTATGAGATAATTTTCTCTTTCTTAATGATAAAATTACCATAGTACCAAAGTAACTTAGCTTTAGCCTTCTTCTAAAATAGGCATATTCAACCTCAGCAACTGGGCCAGACAAATTTTTGTTGAGGGAAATGTTCTTTGTGTTTTAGGATATTTAGAAGCACTTCTGGCCTCTGGCCAATAGCTGCCTAACACTCCTCTCCCTCTTTTCTAGAGTTGCAATAAAAAAATATGTCTAGATGTTGTCAAATCTTTCTTGGGGGGCAAAAGTGTCACCTCTTCAGAACTACCAGTTAGTAGATATGGTAAAAAGAGCCGGGTTGCTTTTTAATTTTATTGCATATTGACAAATTATAATTGTATATAATTATGGGATACAAAGTGCAGGAGGCTGAATGAAATAGGAGGATCACCTGAGTCTGGGAGTTCGAGGCTGCAGTGAGCTATGATCGCACAGTGCACTCTAGCCTGGATGACAGAGTGAGACCCTGTCTCAAAAAAAAAAAAAAAAAGGATAAAAAAGGAATATGCGATAATTGCGTACCTGCGATAATATGATGCAGGTACGCAATGTGGAATGATTAAATCAAGTTAATTAACATATCCATCATCCATCATCTCAAATACTTATTTGTGTGTTTGTGTGTGCAATGAAATTTATAAGCATGTTTCTGCTTTGTTTGGTTTGATTGTTTTTGTTACTCTAGTCTTTCTTTTGTTCTTGATTCTATAATGTAACACAGACATTCCCCAATTTGTGATGCTTTTACTTAACAACTTTTCAAGTTTCCAGTGGGATTATCAGCAGGTAACCCTATCGAAAGTTGAGAAGTAATTGTACTTATTATAGTTTGACTTAGGATTTTTTGACCTACAGTATTTTTGACTTATGTGGGCTCATCAGGACATAACCCCACCATGAGTTGAGGAGCATCTGTGTATTATCTGAACTCAAAGCAGATACTCTTTTGTAAAATAGTAACAGCAATTTGACACTTCATCTCTACCTGCATTACCTCTAACAATGATAGTGAAACAGGAGAGTTTCCTCATTCCTCTTGCAGGACATGCAGCAGGGATGTGGCTCTCCTGTTTGGTCACCCTGCTGCTCAAACCCCTTGTGGGAGGGGAAGCATGCAGACAGGCAGGTGCACAGTCTGGGGGAGTGCTTTGGGCTCCAGCTCTGTTGTAGTGTCTAGGGGTGGGTGCCTGCAACCCCAGTGTTACAAAGCTCCTTCAGCTTTGCCATCCACAGATGGCTTGAGTGCAAATCAGCTCAATGGATCCTCTGTCTTTTTGCAAGGGCAGAGGGCCAGTGTGACAGCTTTCTGTATCCTGAGATCTTGTCCAGCGTTCCGAAAAAATTGGGTCACACATAGATTCAAGGATGAACGTGCGGTTTTATTGAGTGGTGGAGGTGGCTTTCAGCGGGATAGACAGGGAACTGGAAGTGGGGGATGGAGTGAGTAGGTGATCCTCCCCTGGAGTTGGGCCGTCCAGTAGCCGGACTCCTCTCTGACCACCCCCAGCCATACTCCTCTCGGTGTTCAAATGTTCCTCTTCTCCCCCCTTTATCTGCTACATCATTCCACTATCTGTCTGCTGGTCTGCTGGCTTGCTGGTCTGCTCTGGAGCTTGGAATTCAGGGTTTATATGGGTTCAGGGTAGGGGGTGTGGTGGGTTGAAAGGCAACTTTTTGGGTGTGAAAACAGGAATGCCTGTTCTCATTTAGGGCCACTAGTATCCAGGCTCGAGGATGGGGCCTTTGCCGGAGAACTGCCCTCTTCTACCCAGTATTTCCCTGTCTCCTGTCCATGTCAATAGAGACAGTAGAAATGATGTATACAAAGCCTATAGTATGTCCTTAATAAAGACTAGCTGTAGTCATTCTTTTTCATAAACAAAGACTAAGTAAACAAAAGTATTATTTATCTTCTTCATTTGTGCTGAAATTTTTGAGGTATTTAGTTATTTCTTTCTATTTTTTATCTTTCCTTAACTTTTAATTTGAAATAAATATAGATCAAGAAGTTGCAAAAATAATGCAGAGAAGTCTCCTGTCCTCTTTATCCCATTTACTCTATAGGTAACATGTAACTCTAGTACAATATCGAAACTAGGAAATTGACATTGGTACAACCTACATACAGTACTTATTTAGATTTTGCCAGTTTTTATATTAATTTATTTGTGTATGTGTGTATATAATTCTTTTTTAAACATTTTTTCTTATACTTTAAGTTCTGGGAGGCCTTCTTTTGACTGTTGAGTTCTCCACAGTCTGGTTACAGATTGCGACCTCCTATGGAAAAGAATTACGATTATTTAAAATCTTTTCCACACAGATCTATATAGCATCATACATACCTAGGCCTCTGTAACATCAGCTACATTGATAGCAAGGGATGTCAGTCTGCTTTTCATCTCTTTTCAATAACATCCACCACAATATGCGTGATACATTGTTCCTTTTTATAACCATTTTTTATACTAAAATAGAATTCTGTAGATTCAAAGCAATATAGAAATCCCAAGTCTCACACAAAAAATGTAATTGGGGCCCAACTGTGCCTCTCCTTAGGTCTAACTCTGAGTCAAGACTGGGAATTATTATTATATGCTTATGAAGTATTCAGCATCCTTTGCTCAAAGTAATTATTGGTTTCTTCATTTATAGCTAAAGTTGATATAGGGAACACACTCGACAAAAAAAAAAAAAAAAAAATACACACAAGAGTCAGGATTTCTCCAGGGAATCTTGAAAGTATCTGCACTGCCAAATTCCAAAGAGGCTCTATCGTGATTATCTTACACTGACAATACCAAAGACACTGGCAATACGAAAGACACTGACTGCAATCTTGCAGGTACTAGAGAAAGGTTTCTAGCCATGTTTCAAAAGGGTTTATAGTCAGTCATTGAAATCCATTTTCTCCCACACAGGTATGCATGGAATTCTATCTCTATCCCTCCAAGAACTTTGTTTAAATAATTTTGCTTAAGAGGAATGAAATGTCCTTTTCTGTCAAGGTAGGAAATGTTTGCGCACTGATTTTATTCACGGCTAACAGAGTACCTAATGCAAGAGAGCTTCCTTGCTAGGCAACTTCCTCTGAGAGAGAGAGAGAGAGAGGGAGAGAGAGAGAGAGAGAGAGAGAGAGAGAGAGAAAGACAGTGTGTGTGTTGTTTCTGCACAGATTATCGGCCAGCATTGCAGCATGGAGAATTGCAATGTGCTGACATCTGGGCAGGTGCTTTCATGACCTTTCCAGTGCAACACAGATTCCTTATATAGTGACAATTGCATTCTGGCAGCAGTTAAATCTAGATTCAGTGATGCAATAAGACACAGTTCACCAGTCATTTATGAATTTTACATACAAACTCATGCATGAGAATAGTTCCAAGTGAGGAGAAAAGGAAAGTGGTTATTTTTATTTAGAGCATTTCTCTGTCTGTCTAAAAGAATCTATTAAAAGAAAATAAAATCATGTTTGCTTGGCTATTGACCATTCTCTTCCTTTTATAACAAATAGATTTAGTGTTCGACCTTAAGATATTTCTAGCAAGCATTCACCTTAGCAAACTTTTGAGTGCCTCAAAAGAGAATCTTTAACAACTTGTAACATTTCTTTGTGTAGAGCATTTTTGAAACCTTCATTGAATCAGTAATTTAGAAAAAGACAACCTATGGTAATATAAACAGCTTTAGTGGAGCACAGATAAAATGAATCCCTCAAAAATAGGTTGCCACATAAATACAGACCTAGTTAAATTTGAATTACAGGTAACAAAAGATTTCAATTTTTAGTATAAAGATACCCCATATATTGAATGGAAAACAGCTATATTAAAAATCTTTTTAATCTTAAATTCAAATTTAACTACATATCTTGTATGTTCTGTTTGCTAAATTTGTCACTTGCGTTCAATGGAACACAAGTGACAGATATATATTTCAAAATGTTGCTAGCATAATGTCAGTGTCGCTATATTCAAACATCTGAAATTATTTTCCTATTTTTTTCCAGCTCCATTATATACAATATTTAAAACAAATAAAAAGAGATGCTTCACTCAGCAGGCAGTCACCTTGTGAAATTCACTGTCACCATAGGTCACTGGGCTGAATAATTTTATGACCAATAATAACATTTGTCTGAACACATGCTGAGAAAAGGTATCAAATCTCACACTTTAGGGAGTAAGTTGCTCATTGCAGAAACTGGGAGAGAATGACTTCCTGCACAATTGGTTAGGGGCATTATAAGGGTTATGGTCATTGTCAGAGAGGCTGTTTGCCTCCATGGATCAGTACAGAGGCTGACAATCAATGCATGTGGTCCTAAAAGTGGATGCAAAATTCACTAATAGTAAGGAGGATGATCACGATGATTAAAATAATCATGCACAGCCTTAATTAAAAGAGGCATGTATCTATGGGCGGAAATGGTTAATTTTAGATTATTTTATTTGATACAATAGAAATAAATATATTAATTTATGAAGCCTGTTTTTCCCTTCTGGGCCAGGATTACAGGAGGTAGAAATAGTGGGGACAGTTCAATAGCCCTCCTCTTCTGCACAGGACTGCTGCCTTTCTTTATAGCCACATTGTATACAAAAGTTATCTCAGTTTTACAGAATGAAATGGAAAAATATTATAATCCAATTTTAAGTCATATAAAGGAAGTGATTTCACAAAATTATCAGAAAGGAAAGCTTGCCTATTCTTTTCAGCTATCAAACACCTCCTTTTACTCTTTCTTATGAATCTAGACTTGCCATGCTTTCTCTCTCTCTCTCTCTCTCTCGTTGTTTTGCAATGGATAAATGCTATGATAAATGAATTCATTGCAAAGTGACATCAGCTCCATTGAGTAAACTTTCATAAGGGAAGTCCTAGGGAAAGGGGAAAACAGAGAAGAGACAACCATTTAGCCAAAGCAATGAATGCCTAATGGTAGAATTTCCAGAGATGTAGGGGAAAATCCTTAGTGTCTTTCAAATCATTTCATATATGACTGCTTAGTTCACTTACTTTTAAGGCTACTACCACATTCTGAGCCCTTCAACTGTTGCTCCAGGGTTTGATTATGGTGCTTAAATCTGAAAACCAATGTAAGTTGTGAAAATAAAAATACAGTAGAAGGATGGGGAGATGTCCTACCTACTTCTGTAATTCTGAGAGGTCATAACTAAGCCAAATTAAGCAAAAACAAATTGCTGACTTTTGATTTTTATTTTTGTTACCAATTAACATTTATCATTGAATTGTAACTCAGTATCAGTACATCATTTGTATTGCAGGATGGTTCTCAGAGTCAATTATTGAGCTTAAGGAGGAATGATCTTTAAGGAAAATTGCAATTAGTAGGATTAAAATATACTTTCTTCAAACTCCCAGAAATGAACATAGTCCATAACAAAAACTTGAAGAAAAAAGAAAACATACATTTAAATGAATAGAATGATCACCTCTAGACACAATTAAACAATTATTAATTCCATCAAAATAATACTTACTATATACCCTTTACTCTGAGATACATCTAGTTACTTATATATTAACTACTTTAGTTACCAGAAACACACTCAAATGAAAACAGTTTGTGTAGCTAAAATCTGAGATAAAACAGATAATCAAGGAAGAAGTTCATTATAAAGAAGTAAATAATTTATTATTTCTGAGATGAAACTTGACGTTTAAAACTAGGGACATATTTGATACAATCAAAGAAATTGAAGCAACAGTTAAATATCTCAACGAGTTGTTTTGCATTATTTGTTGTTGAGACAAAGATAAATATTTGGAATAAAAATGAAAAGTTTACTATTAAATTTTATGAGTACTGTACCAAACTATAGGATGTTCAAATGCAAGTTGATAATAGTAATATTTTTAGCAAAGATGACTGATCTGATTTTTTGTTCATGTTTCAGTGTTACACTTACAATGCCTGAATCCAATATGTCCACTGAATCTCTCAATGTAGTTTCTCTCTCAGCCATTGAATTAATTACCCCATATATCTAATTTGTCAATACCTTAAATCTGGAGTACAAATTTTATACTGATGGATTTCCATGGAAGTAAGCATCACTTTTATATAGTGAAGTTGTTTCTTATCTTTCTTCTTTTAAAAAAATCATTTTGAAACAACCCAGATGTTTGGAATCATGTACTCAAATGCTTAATTAGTTTTCTGTTTTAGGAAAAAAAGTAGATTCTTTCTGGAACTGTCTCTTCATGGTAACAATCAATATTGAATTAGAAAATAATGAGTAAATAAGCCGGTATTTTAAAAAACATGTTTTATTTTCATCAGGTTAAGGACAAGGATTCCTTTTGAAGTATACGTTCCTGTCTAAAAGTTGCTATGTTTACATTAAGTAAATGCACAGACACTGCAACATATTTTAAACGTATATCAGATTACATCAAATAGCTTCATCTCAAAACCTTTTTCTTTTTTTGGTTTTCTTTTCATTCCCCTTTAGATTATAGTTGGCAAAATTCTTTCATCTTGGTGAAAATTTGGAGGCAACTTGGATTTTGCTTTCAAAGGCTGCATAATTTCTCACTGAAGTAAACAAGCCTAATTTTGGAAGCATATATTGTGCTCATTAAAGTGCTCCATTTGTAACTATAATATAAAATATCTACAGAGAGTAGATTTTGTTTAGTGTCTACAAGTACTTCATTTTATAGATATTTCCCAACCAACACACACAAACATACTTCAACCTTATGGCTGGCAGCAGTATATTGCCATCTGTGTGTTTGTATTTTAAGCAGAACATACTATGAAAATGTAGTAAAAATATACAACAGAAAAGAAAACTGAAGCCAGTTTTAAGTAGACTACTTCTTGGCTTGAAATAGTTATCATGCCAAACATTATCATCTGTGCTCTTCTAAAATAGTACTGTTAAATAAATATAAATGAATATCCACATTTTAGAAAGAGCAAATAGAAATGAACCAAATGGCTGGAAATGTTTGTTTCCTTAGGAAAAGGTCATCTTTAACAAATACAGTAATATACAGTCCCTCATATTTTCTTCTTTCCTTTAAATTATTTTAATTATAGCTACTATCTGTGTGTAATTTAAAAAAATCTTTATTGGGTGTATGTAAATATTATTCTGCACTTTGTAATTATGTTAACTATTTATAGATTCTCTACCATTATCTCTAAGATTAAGTTCCAGAAACTAGTATATTTTTGCTGCTTCAAACCAAGAATGAGAATATTTAATATTAGTAACTCAATTGGTATCAGATATTTTCTATATTTTCTTGAAGATCATCTTGTCAATAGCCAATACCAAATTTCTGGATAGAAATGGAAATATTTAGTAAATTATGTACACATTTTTATATCTTTTATATATCTAGGTCATTAGACTAATCACAAAATGTGACTGAAAGTTTTCATTTTTTCTAGATATCTAATGCATTAAAATTCTCAGTTCAGATTTTTTATGGCACATTTGAGAAAAATGATTTTTTAAAATTCAACCTGTATTTATTCTGTGTGTAATATAATGTTTCCTAATAATAGCTACATCTAACTTCATATGTTTTTATTAATTCATAAAATCAACCATCAAAAGATGGCCATAAGTAGCACCCACACTTCAAAAAACAAAAATCAATCTAATGTCTACAGTGCTTTTAGAACATGGTAAAATTTGTAACATACACCAAAGAACAACCAGTGACCCACAAATGAAATACAATTAACCCCTGTTGTGTTGGTTTCAAATGCAACAAACAATCAAACAAAATGCACATGAAAAATCAGATTTAGAAGATGGAATAGCAGCAACTGGAATTTACCTCCCACTTGAAACAACTAAAAAAATGCAAAAATATGAAACAGTTTTGACTAAACTGTAATTTAGTTTAGTCAAAACTAAAAGACAGTAATTCCTGAGAAAGAGCAAACAAACTAATTGAGTCCTATGATTACCCCAGGTTAGCATCTTAAAAGAATTTCCTTGCTAAGCAGCAGGGAAGGAGAACCCAGGTGGAAACAGTAGACTGAATGAATTAAGAAAGCAGAGTTGAAATTTGGGGAGAAAAAGGTGGCTTGAGTTTGCAGAGAATCAGAGAGAAGAGCACTGTACAAACATGTAAATTTGGCTGCAGTGGCTTCCCCTTGAGTTTTCAACTGAGTACTATTGAGTACACATTGTGTAACTAAACTGCCAAAGGCCAAGACACAATCTGAAAGGATTAGAGGAAACAGTTCCCAGCAATTACATAAAATTAGGAGTAGTGTCTTTTCCTACCAGCTGATTGGGAAACGATTCGCAAGGCATTGAAGACAGTACTCCAAAACATTTTGTCTCAGTAGTAGGGAATAATTAACCTTAGAGTAAGCACTGCTCTAGTCTTATTAAACAAAGTTTAAAAGCAAGACCCAAAGTGAGCAACCTCATTTTAAGTAACTTAACTATGACCCAGAACAATGCTAAAGAATATTGACAGAAACACAAAAATATTGAAGCATACAAAAATATCCATCACCTAAGAAGGTAAAATTTGCAACATATTTGTAAATATAACTTATGGTCAAATATTGCCAAACATGTAAAGAAGTAGGAAAATACAAACCATAATGAGGAAACAACTCAGTCAGTCATAATCAACTTAGAACTGACACAGATGATAGAATTAATAGACAAGGGTATTAAAACAGTCATTATGAACTCCATATGTCCAAAAAATTAAGAATGGAAAATTTAAAAAGATAGAAGTCAAACTTCTAGAGAGAAAAACTGCAATGTCTAAATACACTGGACAAGAATGATGCCAGATTAGACACGGCAAAATAAAAGGATATGAAATTGAAGACTTAACAATAGACATTATCCAAACTAAAACACAGAAAAAAAGTAACAAAAACAGTGAAAAATGCATCAGTGAGCTGTAGGACAACTTTAGGCAGACTACTATTCAGTAATTGGGATATTAAGCAGGGAGGAAGTATGAAAAAATATTTTTGAAAAATTATTTTTCAATTGCAGAAAAAATAAACATAGGGATCCCAGAATCTCTACAAAACCCCGTCACAAGAAGCATGAAAAAACAAACAGAAGAGGAAATGCTAAAAGTATGTAGAGAACAAAAATACATGTTATGCAAAGAGGAAAAAAGATAAGGATGGCAGTAGATATCTCATCAGAAGCAATGTAAACAAGAAAAGAGTAAGCAGTAACGCAACGGAAAAAGAAATCTGAAAATCCCTAAATATGTAGAAACAAACAAACAAAAAAACACTTTAAAATAGCAAATTGGTAAAAGATAAAATTTTTTAAAACTAGAGAGTATTTTTAGCTGAATGGTAATGAAAAATTCACCAAAATTGTGGAATGTTACTAAAGTAGTCTGTAGGTGGACATTTATAGCTTCAAAAGCTTATATTAGAAAAGACAAAAAAAAAAAAAACTCAACGATCTCAGTTTTCCACATTAAGAAACAGACAGACAAAAAAAAAAGCAAAATAAATTTGAAATACAAAAGAGAAAATAAAGCTCAGAACACAAATCAATGAAATAGAAAAAAGAAAAATGGGGAAAAAATCAATGAAATGAAAGCTGTTTGGTGGGGAAATCAATTAAATTGATAAATTTAGAGTCAGATTAACCTTCAAAAAAAGAGAAAATACACAAATTACCAGCATAAGAATTGAGAGATTCTTATATTGAAAGAGGTGACACAGCTATTAAAATAAAGATAACAAAATATTGACAACATTCTATAAATGCATATGAATAGGACAAATCTTTGAAAGACACAAACTACTAAAACTCATTCAAGAAGAAATGCATTACCTGAGTAGTCCTTTAATTATTAAAGAATGTAAATGTATGGTTAAAACACCTTTCCACAAAGAAAACATCATGTCCACAAGGCTTCACTTGAAATTCTACCAAATATTTTTAAAAAGAAATATAAATTCTACCCTAACTACCCTCATACATTGCTGGTGGGAATGTAAAATGATATAACCACTGTGGAAAACAGTTTGAGTCATTTTTTGAGAATTACTATATGATCCAAACATTCTACTCACAGCCATTCCAATATATTTCTCTTTATTCAAGGGAAATTAAAGCAAATATTCACACCAAAACTGGTACCCAAATGTTCACAGTGGCTTTATTCGCAACGGCCCCACACTGGAAACAACCTAAGCCTTCATCAATATGTGAATGGGATAAACAAGTTGTATTTATCTGTCAGTAGAATACTATTTAGCAATAAAACGAGCTATTGAAATATTAGCATACATGGATAAATCTCAAAATAATCATACAAAATATATCAGAAAGAAAACAGTACATAGTGTTTGATTCTGTTTATATAAAGATCTAGAAGATGCAAACTAAGTTATTTTGACAGAGAGCCTAGCAGTGAATGCCTGGGGAATGGGCACATGGTAGGGGTGGATATGGGTAGAAGGGAGGGATTGCAAGGGGGCAATAGAAAATTTGGGGGAATTATGGATATGTTTATCCATCTTGACAGATGTGATATAGTCACAATTGTATGCTTATATTAAAACAAGCTTTACACTTTAATGCACTATAATATAAGCATTTTAACATCAATTATACCTGTTAAATATATACAGATGTTAAAAAAGAAAAAAATCAGATTTACATGAAAAGAGCTTATGAGTATCCTCATGCCTCTATCCTTAAACCAGATCCTTAGACTCAAATTCAGCATGGTATTAATTTATTCAAAATATTCTTTACCTAAACATGATTATCGGTTTCTAAGTTTACTAAAGATTAATTGCAACAGATTAAAGGTCCTTTGCTTTTTTCATAATTAGGTAGGGTGGTAGAAGATCTAAAAAAGAGTAGTTGATATTGACACATAAAGACTTGTAACATACATAAATGTACCTATACTATGTACTGAAGTAAAACATAGCTGCATGCATCCATACAAACTGCCTTGAGTCATAAGAGGAGTCTCTATTCCTGTAAACATTAGCTTTGCTCCCATGTACCAAGGACTGAGCTAATTACTTTATATGCATTCTCTCATTTAATGCTCATAGCAAACCTATAAATTAGCATGTTTACTGAGACTGAACAACATGTTTAAGATCACATAGCAATAAGTAGAAGAGAGAAGATTTGAACGCAGTTTATTATGGAACCAGAGTCATCTCCTAACCACTCCACTCTGCTTCCTTTCAGAATAAATGCAGCGCCACTGTCTTGTATGCACCTTCGATATATACACAAAACAGAATATTTAGAGAATCAATTGTTTTCTTTTAAGAAACATAAAAATAATGACTCAAAACTATAGCTGTGTGTCAGTATTTCTGAAAATAAAATGAGATCATTATTACCATATAGAGATGGAATAAAGGCGGATGAAGAACAGCAGTTTAGCCATAATAATTTCATTAGGACAAATCTGTGGAGAGATGAAAGGAGCAGATCACTAACAGATTGCTAGTGAAATGGAGAGTGTGTTGAAGTCGTTGAATGTGATAACAGTTACAGAAATGAAAGTTGAAATGCTTCAGAGGAACGAACAGAAAAACGAAAGCGGTATTTTCTATCTGTCTTAGCACATCAGGAAAAGGGAAAATGCATATTTTGTCAATTCCATCTAGTCATTGATCTCTTTTGTATGCTCAGTCTAATGAGGCAGGTAGGGGAAATGCATAATGGTTCTTACATGTGTGCTTTATTGGATTCAGATTATTGTGCAGAACTAAATTGTGTTTCACAAAAGAAGGCGTATTTAAATGGATACATCCTTTATTACAGTAAAGATAAAAAATTTAACTTATCAGAATTTTGAAAAAGGAGTTGTTACAATAGCTAACTCTGAACTGCTTCTAAAACCTTACTGCAAGTTATTATAGCTAAACCAATAACAAAAGAAAACAAACAAAAAATACCCCAAACATCTATTTTACCAGTGCTGTTTCTGTAACACTGAACTCTACATTTTGAGGATTGTTCCCAGTTCTTTCATCCAATAAAACTTCTGCCAATAGGAGGTCATTCCTTATGTTTGACATCAATCCTTCTTTTTAAAAGCATTAGACTATAGCAAAATTAATTGAATTCAAGTCAATTAATGCAAAAACAGAATAGCAACACATATACACACCTTTGAAATACAAACCAGCTTTTTCGTTACATCTAAAGAGAATTTTAATATAATATTTAATAATGGTATATTTTACCAAATATAATTAGCAGCTTTTTACCATTTTAACTGAAGTTCCCAACACATTGCTAAGCATTTTATAAGCGCTCAATTTAAAAAAAAATTGGATTTGTAAAACATGAGACATCTGCAAAGCATGAAAAAATTTTAATAAGAAAGTTACCCATTACACATAATACTATTATTCAACCAGAAGTGGTGTATACCTTTATAATCTTTCATGTTGTATACAGAAATATTTTTCATATTACAAATAGTTTATATTTTTCCTCTATTAACCATACAGAATTGGAATAATTTCCACTATCCTTAAATATTATCTGAATACAATATGGTAGTGGACATATGGTATAGCCAAATTTTCCTATTACACGTGTAACATTAGTTCATGTAGGTGTTCATTTTCCCCATGTAATTCTGTTTCCTAATATAGCTATTGTTAATAGTTTGAATACCTTTAGAACTCTTGATAAATATTTTAATTTTAAAAAATTTAATTAATTTACTCTCCCAGGAAATGTCCTTGCTGTATATGATTTTACTCTCTCTCTCTCCCTCTACACACAAACACACACACACACACACACACACACATATATTCCCAAATCTCTCAGAGTAGTAAATTCTTCTAAAGTATTATTATTTATTGTGGTAAAATATGCATAACATAAAATCTACTATCTTAATCATTTTTAAAGTATAGAATTCAGTGGTATTAAATACATTCATAACTCTTTTCAACCATAATTGTCATCCATCTCCCTAACTCATTTCGTTTTATAAAACTGAAACTCTATGCCCATTAAACAAAAACTCCCCACTTCTCCCTAGCTCCAGGCCCTGACAATGACTATTCAACTGTCTGTCTCCATGCTTTTCACTACTCTAAGTATTTCATACACAGTTTTTTTTTTTTTTTTGAGGCAGGGTCTTGCTCTCTTGCCCAGGCTGAAGTGCCGTGCTTCAATCATGGCTCACTGCAGCCTTGACCTCCTGGGCTCAAGTAATCCTCCTATCTCAGCCTTCCAAGTAGCTGGGACTACAGGCGTACACTACCACACTTAGATAATTTTTTACCTTTTGTAGAGACAGAGTCTGGCTGTGTTGCCCAGTCTGGTCTCAAACTCCAGGGCTCAAGCAGTCCTCCCACCTTGGCCTCCCAAAGTTCTGGGATTACATGCATGAGTCACTGTGCACAGTATTTATCTTTCTGTGACTGGCCTATTTCACTTAGCATAATGTCCTCAACGTTTATCCATGTTCTAGCTTATGCTAGAATCCCCTTTCTTTTTAAGACTGAATAATATTCCATTGTATGGATATAGCATATTTTGCTTATCCATTCATCTGTTGATGGACACTTGAGTTGCTTTATGTTTTAGCTATTGTGGGTAATACCGTTGTAAACATGAGTGTACATTAATATCTTTTTGAGATGCTCATTTCACTTCTTTTGGGTATAACTGAGAAGTTAAATTGTTGGATTATATGGCAATTCCATGTTTAATTTCTTTAATTAGTTTTTCCTATTTTATTAATATATAATAAGTTACATATTTATGGGGTACATTTGAGTATTTGTTACATGCAAAGAGTGTGTAATGATCAATTCAAAGTAACCGAGATGTACATCATCATAAATGTTTATCACAATTTCATATTGGTATCATTTCAAGTCGGCTCTTCTAGTTACTCTAAATTAAATAACATTGCTGACAAATATAGTCATCATAGTCTGCTCGAAAACATTAGAACTCATTTCTTCCATGTAATGTATGTTTGCACCCATAACCAACTTCTCTTCATTATGCAATGAACTTCTTTGTCTTTTTTTACTGTTTTCGACTTAAAGTCATTTTAATCTGATATAAGTGTTGCTACTCCTGTTCACTTTTGGTTTCTACTTGCATGAGATATTGTTTTTTGTCCCTTTACTTTCAATCTACATGTGTCCTTATAGATAAAATGCATTTATTCTAGGCAGTATATAGTTGAATCATGTTTTTGTTTAAAAAAAATCTATTTAGCCAGGCTCTATCTTTAATTGAAAGTTTTAATCAATTTACAATCAGGTTCATTATTGATATATGAGGTTTTGTTCCTGTCACATTGTTTTTTGTTCCCTGCCCTGTTCCCATTCACCATTCCCAGTTTCTGGTATCTATCAGTCCATGATATCACGGTTTTCAGCTCTCACAGTATTCATCTTTCTGTGCCTGGCTTTTTTCACTTAACATAATGAGCTCCATTTCCATCCATGTTGCTGCAAATAACATGATTTCATTCTTTTTATGGCAAATTTCATATGGCCAGTATTTCATTGTGTATATGTACCACATTTTCTTTATTGATTCATCCATTGATAGGAATTTAGGTGGATTCTATATCTTTGCTATTGTGAATAGTGCTGCTATGAACATAAGAATGCAGCTATCCCTTTGATATACTGATTTCCTTTGGATAGATATCCAATAGTGGGATTGCTGGGTCATATGGTAGTTACTAGTTTTTTGAGAAATCTCCATTCTGATAGCAGCTGTACTTATTTACATCCCCACCAAGAGTGTATAGGGGTTCCTTTTTGTCTTCATCCTTGCCAGCATCTGTTATTTTCTTTTCTTTTTATAATAGCCATTCTAACTGAGGTGAGATAATATCTCATTGTGGTTGATTTACATTCCACTAATGATTAGTGATGTTGAGCATTTTTGTTTATATTTTCAAAGAATAAAGTTCATTTGATTGATTCTTTATATTGTTATTTTTATTTCTATTTCATTTAGTTATGCTCTGATCTGTATTTCTTTTTTTCTGCTAATTTTGTATCTGATTTGTTCTTGCTTTTTTAGTTCTCTAAAGTGCATCACTAGATTATTTGAAATCTTTCTGTTTATTAACAAAATATAGGCTTTTATTACTGTCAACTTTCCTCTTAGCACTGCTTTTTCTGTTTCCCACACGTTTTGGTATGTTGTCTTCCCATTTTCATTTGTTTCAAGTCATTTTTAGATTTCCATCTTAATTTTTCATCAAATCAATGATTGTTCATAAGCATGTTGTTTAATTTCTATGAATTTAAATATTTTCCTAAGTTCCTCTTGGTATTGATTTCCAGTTTTATTTCATTGTGATCAGAAAAGATACTTGATATGATTTTTATTTTTAGTAATATTCTGAGATATGTTTTGTGGTCTAACATATGGTCAATACTGGAGGTTTCATTTGTTGATGAAAAGAATGTGTATTCTGTATCTGTTAGATTAAATGTTCTGTAAATGTTTTTTACTCAGTTTAAGTCTAATGTTTATTTTCTGTCTAGAGGATCTGTCTAGGCAGATCTTTACTAGATCTAGTAAAATTTGTTTTATGAACCTGGGTGTTAATATTTGTGTGCATATATATTTACAATTGTTATATTCTCTTGCTGGATTGATAGCTTTATCATTATGCAATGAACTTCTGTCTCTTTTTTTACTGTTTTTGATTTAAAGTCATTTTTATCTGATATAAATGTTGCTACTCCTGTTCACTTTTGGTTTCTACTTGCATGAAATATCATTTTTCATCCCTTTACTTTCAATCTACATGTGTCTTTACAGATAAAATGCATTTTTTCTAGGCAGCATATAGCTGAATCATATTTTCCTGTTTTAAAGAATCCATTTAGCCAGTCTCTATCTTTAATTGAAAATTTTAATCAGTTTACAATCAGGGTCATTATTGATATATGAGGTTTTGTTCCTGTCATACTGCTTTTTATTTTCAGGTTCTTTTGCATATTCTTTGTTCCTTTCTTTTTCTCTTATTGTCTTTGTGGTTTGCTGACTTTCTGTGGTCATACAATTTGAGTCGTTTCTCTTCCTCATTTGTGTGTTTGCTTTACCTGTAAGTTTTATATTTTCATGTGTTTTCATGATAATAACTGTTGTTCTCTAATTTATAAGTTTAGGACTCCATTGAGGATTTCTTGTAAGGCAGGTCTAGTGATAATAAAGTCCCTCAACATTTGCTTGTCGTGGAAAGACTATTTCTCCTTCAGTTGTAATGGATAATTTTGCTGGATATAATACCCTTGGCTGGCAGTTCTTTTTATTTTCATAACTCTGTATATATCCATCCATTCTCTCCTGGTCAGTAAGACTTCTGTTAAGAAGTCTGCTATTGGTCTGATGGGGGCTTTTTTATAGGTGACTAGATAATTTTATCTTGCAGTTTTTAGAATTGTTTTTTTGTCATTGACTTTACACAGTTTGACTTTAATATTCTGTTGAGAATAACTTTTTGCATTATATCTGATTGGAGATTGCTGAGACTCCTATATCTGGGTGTCTAAATATCTTGCTAAACATGGGAAATTTTTATCTATTATCTCAAAAAATAAATTTTCAAACACTTTTGTTATCATTGCCTTTGGGGATACCAATAATTCATGTATTTTATATATCACAAAGATGTTGCTTTTTTTATTTTTGGTCTCATGGAGTTATCTGAAAATATCTGTCTTCAAGCTCTAAGATTCTCTCTTCTGCTTAATCTAGTCTATTGTTGAAGCTTCCAAGTATATTTTGTATTCCATTAAAGGAATTTTTTAGTTCCAGCTTTTCTATGTTCCTCTCTTTTTCTTGTGATATATAAATTTGTCATTCATATCTTGAAATGTTTTTCCGATTTTTTGTATTTTTTTTAGAATTTCTCTTACATTTCACTGTGCTTTTTAGTATTATATTTTTTATTCTCTTCTGGAATTTTGTGAATTTCTTTTATTATAATCTGTTGCTGAGGAATTAATGTGTTCCCTTGGAAGTGTCATATTTCATTGCTTTTTTCCTTACATTGATATCTGTACACCTGGTCTAATAGTCTCTTCTTCCAGTTTTCAAATTTGCTTTCATAGGAGAGGACTTTTTCCTGAAGATTTGTCAATGGTGTTGTTTAGATAGACTCTTTTAGTTTTGATTATGGGTGCATGTGGTAGTGTAGTCTCTGTATGATTTTTTTGGCTATAAACAACAGCATCAGTGGTATTTGTGATTTCCTCTGTGGTTTAACAAGTGGTTACTAGTGGAGGCTCTGGTGAAGTTTTACTGGGGACAGGGGTGCCAGGTGGGCCAGTCTTTGGGCCCCAGGGGTGGCATCACTGGGCTGAGCAAGGCTGATGCCTGATCTTGAGCCCTAAGGCGCTGTATGTTGACACCAATGTTAGCAGAACCAGAAGGCCGAATTCTTGGGCTATGAGGTGACTTGCTAAGATGCCAGTAGTGGCAGCAGTGGTCCAGGTGGGTGAGAATATTCTCGGAGCCCTGGAAAGCCAAAATGATGTAGGCAATGGCAGTAGCAGTGGTGGGAAAACCCTCTGAGTCCCATGTGTTGTGCACAGGTAGTGGCAGTGGCTGTGGTGTGGCAACACCACTGACAGCACCAGGCATGCAACTCTCTGGCTCTGTGGCAGGAGCACCCCAGCACTGCAGAGAGGGAGAGAGAGATCTTGGCCTTCGTGTGTGAGCTCAGGCACAGAAGCCACACCATCATTGGGTGTAGAGTTGCTACTCACATATCTAGACAGGCAGCCCTCCAGCTCTTCTTCCCCTTCCTCTGGTGGCAGCATCAGTGGCTGTTGTGTCTACAGTGAGGGTGTGAAGGGGCAGGGGAGGTCTCGTGCTATATGTGTGAGCCTGAGCACAGAAACTACAGCACCAGTGGAAAGGTATCATATTCTCCACTTACAAGGCCAAGCACAGAGTTTGTGCCATTGCTGGAGGCAAGGCCACATCTCACAGCCCCACACAGGTAACTCTCAGGCTCTGGAAAGCACGTGCTTTGGATCTCTTTTTGCCAGGGGCTGTCTTTTTGGTGTACTGTACTGTCATTTCCCTGGGCAGTAGTATTTCCTGTGGGCTAGAATACTGGGGACCCCACAGCACCTTTAGGTCCAGTCAGTACTGTGAAGATATGGAAGCTGTGCTCTCCAGGCAGGATGCAGTCCCCTGATGGCTGTGCTCTCACAATGGCACCTGGCTACAGCCACTTAGGTCTCAGTTCGGGGGCGGGCAGGAGAGTAAGCAACACAGCATGAGTTTCCTGTCTGTTGCAGTGCTCTTGCAGCGGCTCCAAATCACTGCTCACGTGTGTCAGGGTTTATGTGAGTAGAAGGGTTCTCCTTTGGTTGGGTGGGGATGTAGACTGCTGAAGTCCTCTCACTTAATCTTTACCTAAAACACTGAGCCCTTCCAGGCTGCTGGTTGATCTCAGAAAACTGGCTGCTTGTTTCCTTCTGTGCCTCAGATATTTCCTGTGACTTCCCTGTTAGACTCTAGTGTCCTTTCCTAGATGTTCTATTTGAGATAAAGTTATCTATTCATAACATTTGTTATTTCTGGAGAGGGCATGTATTTGATATCACTAGTCAGCCATCTTGAACCTGAATCTTGTTTAAGTTTTTTGAAAAACTGCCATACTGTTTTCCACAGTGGCTGTACCATTTTACATTCCCATCTAAGGTGCGAAGTGCTCCAATTGCATCATATTCTTGCCAATATTTGCTGTTTTCTGTGTTTTTTTTATAGTAACAATTGCAAAGGGTGTGAAGTGGGATCTCTTTGGAGTTTTGATTTGCATTTTCCTATTGATTAGTGATAATGAGTCTCTTTTTATGTGCTTATTGTTCATTTGTATATATTCTTTGAAGAAATGTATATTCAAGTCTTTTACCTATTTTGAATTGGTTTATTTTGTTGTTTTTAAATTTTGGAATGTCTCCATATATTTTGGAATGTCTCCATATATTTTGGATAATAACCCCTCATTAGATATAGAATTTGAAAATACTATATCCCATTCTTAGATACATTTTACTTAGATACGTCAATAGATACTGTCTTTTGATGCACTTTTTAAAACAATTTTATTTCTATTTCAATTTGTTTTGTGTGATTTCATTACCTGTGTTTTTTGCTGGCATATCCAAGAAATTTTGCTGAACTCAATGCCATGAAGATTTTAATTTTGTATTTTCTTCTAAGATAGTTTTAAGTATTACATTTAAGTCTGATTTCATTTTGAGTTTACGTTTGTGTATGATGTTAGATGAGGGTATAGTTTCCTTCTTTTCATTATGGATATCCATTTTTTCCAGTATAATTTGTTGAAAAGACTATCCTTTCCCCTATAAATGGTCTTAAAATATTTGCCCAAAATATTTTGACCATATATTCCAGGGCTGATTTATTGATTCTATTCTATTTTTGATCTATATGTGTGGTTATTAAACAAGTGCCACATTGTTTTTATAGCCACAGTTTTGTAGTAAGTTTTGAAATAAAGAAGTTTGAGTCCTACAAGCTTAATATTCTCTTTCAAGATAATTTTGGCTATTGAGAACCACTTGAGAGTCCATATGAATTTTAGGATAGATTTTTAAATTTTAATCCTAATGACAAAAAGTTATTAGCATTTTGGTTGTGATTACTTTCAATCTGTAGATCTCTTTGGGCAGTATTGACATTTTACAATGCTAGTTTTCCAATTCATGAGCACAGGATGTGTTTTTATTTATGTATTCTCTTTTTTCAGCAACGTTTTGAAGTATCATTATATATGTCTTTCATCTCCTTTGCTAAATCCTATTTTATTCATTTTGATGCTATTGTAAACTAAATTGTTTTAGTAGTTTTCTTTTCAGATTTTTCATTGTTAGTACATAAAAATGCAACTGATTTTTATGTGTTGACTTTGTATTCTGCTTATTTTTTGAATGTCTTTATTAGTTCCAACATATTTTTGTAAAATCTTTAGAACTTTTTTCACATATGATTATATCATCTGCAAACAGAGATAATTTTACTATTTCTTTTTAATTGAAGGGTCTGTTTTTTTTTTGGTTGTCTAACTGCTCTGGTTAGAACATCCAGTACTATGTTGAATTGAAGGGATAAAAGCAAGTATCCTTGCCTTCTTCCTAATCTTAGAGGAAAATATTCAATATTTCAATGTTGAATATGATGTTCAATGTAAGTTCTGCCTATAAGAATTTTGTTGTGTTGAAGTATTTTGTAGTTTGTTGAATATTTTTATCCTGAAAGGATTTGAATTTTGCCAAATGATTTTCCTGCATTAATTGAGATGATCACAGTTTGTTTTCTTCATTCTGTTAATATAGCATATGGCATTGATTGATTGATTCTCATATGTTGAATCATCCTTGCATTTCAGGAAAAATCATGGTCATGAAATATAATCCATTTAATATGATACTGAATTAGGTTTGCTAGTAATTGGTTTAGAAGTTCTGCATCAGTATTCATAAAGGAGATTGGTCTATAGATTTCTTATTTTGTAAGACTTATCTTTGTATGACTTTCGTGTCAGGATTATTCTGGCCTCATAGAATGAGTTATGAAGTGTTACTTCCTCTTCAATGTTTTGGAAATATTTCAAGATTGGTATACTTAAATAATTTCTACTTTATATGTTTGGGAGCATTCGTCCATAAGACTACCAGGTCCAAGCCTTTTTCCTTGTTGAAAGTTTTGTTTTTTGGGTTTTTTTTTTTTTTTGTCTTTTTTAACTGATTCAATATCTGCACTAATTTTAGGTCTGTTTAGATTTTCTATTTCTTCATAATTTACTTTTGGTAGCTTTAGTATTTCTAAGAATTCATCAGTTTCATCTAGATTATTGAATTTGTTAGTGTATAATTATTCATAATACCCTCTTATAATACATTTTATTTCTGTATAATGCAAAGTAATGTTCCACTTTCATTTCTTATTTTAGTAATTTTAGTCTTTTCTCCTTTTTTAGTACATCTAGCTAAAGATTTGACAATTTTGGAGATTTTTTCAAGAAACCAACTTAGGGTTACATTTAATTTTTTCTGTTTTTCTATTCTCTTTTATTTGTCTATGTTCAAATATTTATTATTTCTTTATTTCTGCTAGTAGTGGGTTTAGTTTGTTATTTTGTTTTTAGTATCTTGCAAAGTTAGTAAGTTGCAAAGTTAGGTTGTTGCTTTCAAATCTTTCTTACTTGTTTAGCTGAAGCATTTATGATTACGAATTACATGCCTAGAACTGCTTTCATTGCATCCCGTAAGTTTTGGTATGTTGTGTTTTATTTTTCATTCATCTCTAAGTATTTTCTAATTTTATTATAATTTCTTCTTTGTTCTTCAATCCATTTGGTTGTTTAATATTATGTTGTTTAATTTTCACAAATTTGTGACTTTATCAGTTTAGCTTCTGTCACCAATTTCTAACTTTATCTTGTGGTTAAGAAAGATACCTTGTATGCAAGCTCTCATTTTACATATATGAAGACTTAATTTGTGGCCTCACATATGGTGTATCCTGGAAAATGTCTCATGCGTACTGCTGTTGTTAAATAGAGTGTTCTGTATATTTCTATTTGATTTAGTTAATTTCTTGTATAATGTGTTTTAATCCTCTATGTATTCATCTCATGTCTGGCTATTCTGTGCATTATAGAAAGTAATGTACTCAGGTTTCTATTATTGCATAAATATCTATTTTGCCCTTTAATTCTGTTCATTTTGCTTTATATATTTTGATAGCCTGCAATTAGGTGCCTAAATATTTATAATTGATACATATTCTTGCTACATTTGAATGTTTTATTAATAGGTAATGTTCTTCATTGTTACTCATGAACTTTTTGCCATGGCTCACACCTGTAATCTCACCACTTTGGGAGGCCGAGGCAGGTGGATCACGAGTTCAGGAGCCCGAGACCAGCCTGGCCAGCATGGTAAAACCTTGTCTCTGCTAAAAATACAAAAATTAGCTGGGCATGGTGGCTGGTGCCTGTAATTCCAGCTACTTGAAAGACTGAGGCAGGAGAATCATTTGAACCTGTGAGGTGGAGGTTGCAGTGAGCTGAGATTGCGCCATTGCACTCCATTCTGGGTGACAGGGTGAGACTCCATCTCAAAAAAAAAAAATTCCAATATAAAATACATATTGTTTGATAGCATAGCCACTTCTACTCTCTTTTGTGTACAATTTTCATGTAATATCTTTCCATCCTTTCATTTTCAATCTACTTGTGTGTTTGGATTTAAAATAGTCTCCTGTAGGCAGGATATAGTTTCCTTCTGTGTTTTTTTGTTTGTTTGTTTCTTTTAAAGTTTTTTTTTTTAATTTTAATGTAGTCAAAGTTACTTATTTTTTCTTTGTTGCTTGTGCTTTTTGGTGCCATATTTTTTTTTCTTTCTTTTTTCTTTTCTTTTTTTTTTTTTTTTTTGAGATGGATTCTCACTCTGTCACCCAGGCTGGAGTGCAGTGTCATTATCTCAGCTCACTGCAATCTCCACTTCCTGGGTTCAAATGATTCTCCAGCCTCAGCCTCCCAAGTAGCTGGGATTACAGGTGTGTGCCACCACAACCAACTAAGTATTTTTTTTAAGCTATTCTTCTAATCTCTGTCTTTTGATTGAAGAGTGTAATACATTTAAAGTAATTACTGATAAATATGGCCTTATATCTGCCATTTTGCTAGGTGTTTCCTATATTCCTTATAACCATTTTGATCTTTACATTCTGCATTGCTGTCTACTTTTATCTTGAGTTTTTGTTTATGACACTTAAATTTCTTTCTCACTTTCTTTTGTGTATATTCTATAGCAATCATCTTAATGATTCCCAAGGTGTATTAGTCTGTTCTCACACTGCTAATAAAGAAGTACCTGAGACTGGGTAATTTATAAAAAGGTTTAATTGACTCACACTTCAGCATGGCTGGGGAGGCCTCAGAAAACTTACCATCACGGTCGAAGGGAAACAAACATGTCCTTCTTCACATGGTGGCAGGAGAGGGAAGAATGAGAGCTGAGTGAGGGGGGAAGCTCCTTATAAAACCATCAGGTCTCATGAGAACTCACTATCATGAGAATAGTATAAAGGAATTGCCCCCATGATTCAATTACTTCCCACCAGGTTCCTCCCATGACATGTGGGGATTATGGGATCTACAATTCAAGATGAGACTTGGGTGGAGACAAAGCCAAACCATATCATTCTGCCTCTGGCCCCTCCCAAATCTCATGTTCTCGCATTTCTAAATACAATCATGCCTTCCCAAAAGTCCCCCAAAGTCTTAATTCATTCCAGCATTAACTCAAAAGTCCAAGTCCAAAGTCTCACCTGAGACAAGGCAAGTCCCTTCCCACCTGTGAGCCCATAAAATCAAAAGCAAGTTAGATACTTCCTAGATACAATGGAGGTACAAAAATTGGGTAAATACACTGATTTCAAATGGGAGAAACTGGCCAAAATGAAGACGCTACAGGCCCCACACAAGTTCAAAATCCAGTAAGTCATTCATTAAACCTTAAAATTCTAAAATGATCTCCTTTGACTCCATGTTTCATATCCAGGTCACACTGATGCAAGAGGTGGGCTCCTTTGGGCTTAGGCAGCCCCACTTCTATAGCTTTGCAGGGTATAGCTCCCATTCTAGCTGCTTTCATGAGCTGGTCTCATGAAAGAGACCAGATTTTCCAGGTGCATGATGCAAGCTGTCATTCGACCTACCAGTCTGGGGTCAGGAGGATGGTGGCCGTCTTCTCACATCTCCACTTAGCAGTGCCCCAGTGGGGGACTCTGTGTGGAGCCTCTGACCCCACATTGGTTATCCATGAGGGCCTCACCCCTGCAGCAGACTTCTGCCTGGACATGGAAGCATTTCCATACATTCTCTGAAATCTAGGAGGAGGTTTCCAAACCTCAATTCTTGACTTCTGTGCACTTGCAGGCTCAGTACCATGTGCATGCTGTCAAGACTTGGGGCTTTCAGCCTCTGAAGCCATGGCCTGAGCTGTACCTTAGTCTATTTTAGCCACAGCTGGAGTGGCTAGGATGCAGGATACCAAGCCCCTAGGCTGCACACAGCACTGGGGCCCTGGGCCCAGCCCAGAAAACCATTTTTTCATCCTACATCTCCAGGCCTGTAATTAGTCAGGCTCCCATGAAGGTCTCTGACCTGACTTGGAGACATTTCTTCCATTGTCTTGTAGATTAGCATTTGGCTTCTCGTTACTTATGCAAATTTCTACAGTAGGTTCAAATTTCTCCCTACTGCATCATCAGGCTGCAAATTTGTTAAGCTTTTATTCTCTGCCTCCTCTTGAACGCTTTGCTGATTAGAAATTTCTTCTGCTTGATACCCTAAATCATCTCTCTCATGGTCAAAGTCCCAGAGATCTCTAGGGCAGGGGCAAAATGCTGTCAATCTCTTTACATAGCAAAAGTGACCTTTACTCCAATTCCCAACAAGTTCCTCATCTCTATCTGAGACCACCTCAGCCTGGACTTTATAGTCCATATTACTTTCAGCATTTTGGTCAAAGCCATTCCACAAGACTCTAGGAAGTTACAAACTTTCCCACATCTTCCTGTTGTCTGAGCCCTCCAAGATGGTAGGAAGTTACAAACTTTCTCACATTTTCCTGTCTTTTTCTGAGCCCTCCAAACTGTTCCAATTTCTACTTGTTACCTAATTCCAAAGTTGCTTCCACATTTTCAAATACCTTTACAAGAGCGACCCACTACCTGGTACAAATTTACTGTATTAGTTTGTTCTTGTGCTGCTAATAAAGACATACCTGAGACTGCGTAATTCCAGAGATTTAAATGACTCCCAGTTTAGCATGACTGGGGAGGCCTCATAAATTTTACAATCATGGCAGAAGGCAAAAGGGAAGCAAGACATGCCTTCACATGGCCAGATCAGGAGGAAGGCAGCTTTCCTATACACCAACAAGAGCAAAAGTGAGAGCCAAATCAGAAAAGCAATCCTGTTCACAATTACCACAAAAAGAATAAAATATCCATAAATACAGCTAACTAGGGAGATGAAAGTTCTGTACAATGAGAAATACAAAACACTGCTCAAAGAAACCAGAGAAGACACAAACAAATGGAAAAAATGTTCCATGTTCACGAATGGTATATTAGTCCATTTTCACACCACTATAAAGAACTTGGGACTGGGTAATTTATAAATAAAATGAGTTTAATTGACTCGCAGTTCTGCATATAACTGAATGTTTTCAGGATCAGCCAGGTCACATCTTGAATGCTTTGCTGCTTAGAAATATCTTCCGCCAGATACCCTAAATAATCTCTCTCAAGTTCAAAGTTCCACAGATCTCTAGGACAGGGGCAAATGCCACCAGTCTCTGAGACCACCTCAGTCTGAGCTGCACTGGCCATATCACTATCAGCCTTTTGGTCAAAACCATTCAACAAGGCTCTCGGAAGTTCCAAACTTTTCCACATCTTTCTGTCTTCTCCTGAGCCCTTCAAATTGTTCCAAATTCTGCCTGTTACCCAGTTCCAAAGTTGCTTCCACATTTTCAGTTTATCTTTGTAGCAGTACCCAACTCTCAGTATCAATTATCTGTATTAGTCTGTTCTCACACTGTTATAAATATACCACTTGAGGGTAATTAATAAAGAGAGGAGGTTTAACTGACTGACAGTTCTGCGTGATTGGGCAGTCTCAGGAAACTTATAATCGTGGAGCAAGGCAAAGGTGAAACAGGCATCTTGTTCGCTCAATGCTATTCCAATCAAACCAGGTGGGACCTGGTTCACCCTCAACATGTGGGGATTACCAGCTCCCTCCCTGAACATGTGGGGATTACAATTTGAAATGACATTTGGGTAGGGACACAGAGCCAAACCATGTCAAACAGGAAAAATCAATTTCATTCAAATGGCCATACTGCCCAAAGCAATTTTCTAGCTCAATGGTATTCCTATCAATTTACTAATGACATTCTTCACAGAACCAGAAAAAAAATATATTTTAAAATTCATAAGGAACCAAAAAAGAATCAGAATAGCTGAGGTAATACTAAGCCAAAAGAACAAAGCTGGAAGCAGCATGTTACCTAACTTCCATCTATACTACAGGGCTACAGTAAGCAAAAAAAAAAGCATGGTACTTGTATAAAAACAGGCACACAAACAAATGGAACAGAATACAGAGCCCAGAAATAAGGTCACACTTCTATGACCATCTGATCTTCCTCAACGAAGCTGACAAAAACAAGCAATAGAGAAAATACTAATAATTGATGCTGGGCCATATGCAGAAGATTGAAGCTGGACCCCTTCCTCACACAATATACAAATATACAAAAATGAACTCACGATGGATTAAAGACTTAAATGTAAAAACTAAAACAATAAAAATCCAGGACGACAACCAAGATAATACCATCTTGGACATAGGGACAGGCAAAGATTCCATGACAAAGATGCCAAAAGCAATTTCAATAAAAGCAAAAATTTTTAAGTGGGAGGGATCTAATTAAACTTAAGAGCTTCTTCACAGCAAAAGAAACTATAAACAAACCACCTACAGAATAGGAGAAAATATTTGCAAGCTATGCATCTGACAAAGGTCTAATACCCAGCATCTATAAGGAATTTAAAGAAATGTATAAGATTAAAACAAACAACCTTATTAAAAAGTGGGCAAATGACATGAACAGACACTTCTCAAAAGAAGACATACATGTGGCTAAGAAGCATTTGAAACATCTCAGTATCATTGAATGGCTACTACGAGGCGGGAGGATCCCTTGAGGTCAGAAGTTCAAAAACCAGCCTAGACAACATGGTGAAACCCCATCTCTACTAAAAATACAAAAAATTAGCCGGACGTGTTGGTGGGTGCCTATAACCCCAGCTACTCGGGAGGCTGAGGCAGGAGAATTGTTTAAACCTGGGAGGCAAGGTTGCAGCAAGCCAAGATTGTGCCACTGCACTCCAGCCTGGGTGACAGAGAGAGGCTCCATCTCAAAAAAAAAAAAAAAAAAAAAAAAAAAAAAAAAAAGGAAAAAGTGCTAGCAAGGTTGTGGAGAAAAGGGAACACTTATAAACTGTTGATGGGAGTGTATATTAAGTCAACCATTGTGGTAAGCAGCATGGAGATTCCTCAAAGAGCTAAAATGAGAACTATCATTTGATCCAGCAATCCCATTACTGGGTATACTTCATATACCCTGAGGAATATAAATCATTCTACCATAAAGACGCATGTACCTGAATGTTCACTGAAGCACTATTCACAATAGCAAACACATGGAATCAATCTAAATGACCGTCCATGACAGATTGGATAAAGAAAATGTGGTACATATACACCAGGAAATACTATGCAGCCATAAAAAAGAATTAGATTACATCTTTTGCAGGAACATGGATGGCACTGGAGGCCATATCTTTAGCAAACTAACACCGGAGCAGAAAACCAAATACCATGTGTTTTCACTTATAAGTGGGAGCAAAATGATAACTTAAGAACACAAAATAGGAAACAACCAACACTGGCTTCTACTTGAGGGTGGAGTGTGGGAGGAGAGAGAGAAGCAGAAAAGATAAAAATTGGATACTGGGTTATGACCTGGGTAATGAAATAATCTATCCAAAAACCACTGTGACACAAGTTTACCTTTGTAACAAACCTTCATGTGTACCTCCAAAACTAAAATAAAAGCTTAAAAAAAGGGAATGTATTTAACACTACCAAACTGTAAACTTAAACATGGTTAAGATGGCAAATTTTGTGTGATGTGTACTTAAAATAAGAAATCTGCCCAGGCGTGGTGGCTCACGCCTGTAATCCCAGCACTTTGGGAGGTAATGGTGGGGGGATCACCTGAGGTCAGGAGTTCAAGACCAGCCTGACCAACATGGTGAAACCCCATCTCTACTAAAAATACAAAATTAGCCGGGTGTGGTAGCAGGCACCTGTAATCCCAGCTACTTGGGAAGCTGAGGCAGGAGAATTGCTTGAATCAGGAGGCCGAGGTTGCAGTGAGCTGAGATCATGCCATTGCACTGAAGAGTGAAACTCCGTTTCAAAAAAAAAAAAAAAATCCTCTTTCTTTCCTCCTTTCTTTCTTTCTTTTTCTTTCTCTCTCTCTTTCTCTCTCTTTCCTTCTTTCTTCCTCTCTCTTTCTCCTTTTCCTTCCTTCCTTCTTTTCTTTTCTTTTTTCTTTTTTTTTGTATTCCTTTTAAACATTTCAGTTAGTTTGGGGGAACAGGTGGTATTTGGTTACATGGAATAATTATTGAGATGTTGGTGCACCTGTCACCTGAGCAGAATATACTGTATCTAATATGTAGTCTTTTATCCCTCACCTCCCACCATTCCCCCTGAGTCCCCAAAGTCCATTATATCATTCTTATGGCTTTGCATCCTCATAGCTTAGCTCCCACTTATAAGTGAGAACATACCATGTTTGGTTTTCCATTCTTGAGTTACTTCACTTAGATGGAGTTACTAACTCCATCCAGGTGGCTGTGAATGACATTATTTCATTCCTTTCTATGGCTAAGTCATATTCCACTATATATATATTATTTTCTTACCTATTTGTTGGTTGATAAGCATTTAGGCTGGTTCCATATTTTTGCAGTGTGAAGTGTGCTGCTATAAACATGCGTGTTCAAGTGTCTTTTTTCATATAATGACTTCTTTTCCTTTGGATAGATACACTCATCCTTCTTGAGAGTGCTTTCTAAGAATTAAACAGGGATTAAGTGTTGTGACCTAGGCCTGTGGTCACTGCAGCTGTTTCAGCACTAGGGGATACCCTAAGCCCAGGGAAACTATAACTCTTGCAAGCTCCTGGATATGCAGCCTTGGTGAACTTGGGAGCAATAAAAAATTCCCTGGGTTACCAGTGAAGGTCTCTTACTCTCTTTGCTCTTTTCCTCCTTCCAGAAAGAGTCTCTGTGTTTGGCTGCCTGAAGATCGGGTAGGGGTGACATGAATAATCCTATGGCCACCACAGCTAGCACTGCACTGTGTCTCACCTCATGCCTATGACCTTCCGGACCAGCATAACAGTGGGGCTTGCCTAAGACCTGTGGCAACTACTGCCTGGCTGCCTCTGACATTTATTCAAGGCCCAAGGTCACTTAAGTCAGTCTGTAGTGAATCCTACATGGATTGACCATCACATCACAGAAGTGGATTCTTTCATGGCCCAGGTTGGGTATAAAAGCATCATCCAAGAGAATAGGCCTGAAACTGGGGGCTTCCAGAATCTGTCTGGTGTTTTGTTTTCCTGTGGGTGAGCTGGTACACAAAGTACAAGACAAAGGCCTCTGTACTCTTCCTTCTCCTTTCCCCAAGCAGAAAGAATCTGTCCTGGGTCTGGATTGCCTGGAGTCCAGCTTTCTAAATCTCTTAGGGATTTAGAAATAAACAAAAAAACATGTCTTTCCTAATTTTTAAAAGTTGTCATGCTTTCTCTTCCTTGCTTATTACAGAGCTCTGCAGCAGTCACTTAATTTGCAGTTGACCATTTGGTAGGAAGTATTTTGGCCCAGTGGTGTAGCCTCTCTCTCCCATCCACAAAGAGTGGCACAGTCCAGAGGGCTCCTGCTATTCATCAAACAGGCTCTGCTTTTAGACTCAGTTTTTAGAGCCACCCCATGGGGAAGAGCAATTGTTCATCGTGGTCCCAAGGGAAGGCATCAGTTTGGCTGTGACGGTCCCTGAATTGCATGCATAATTGTTCCAGGGGAAGTATTATAGGACCAATGAAAAGAAATCTGTGCTGTATTATTTTGTAGCTTTCAACTGGTTGGATATAAAACAAAACAAAAAATAAATTACGTACTTGATGCAAAATTAGAGCATTTAACATTTCTATTTCTTTTAGACATTTTAATCTGTTCTTCCATGAGGACAGTTAATGGTTGTCTAAAAGCTTTTGCCACTTTATAACTGCATTTTAAGATGCCTATTTTCTTTTTCTTTTTTTGATTTCCAACTTTTATTTTAAGTTCAGGGGTACATGTGCAGAATGTGCAGGTTTGCGACACAGGTAAATGTGTGCCATGGTGTTTTGCTGCAAAGATCATCCCATCACCTATGTATTAAGCCCAGCATCCATTAGTTGTTCTTCCTAATGCTCTCCTTGCTTCCACCCCTCACCCTCCAACAGGCCCCAGTGTGTGTTGTTCCCCACCCCCAAGTGGCCCATGTTTTCTCATCATTCAGCTCTCACTTAAAAGTGAGAACATTTGGTATTTAGTTTTTTGTTCCTGAGTTAGTTTGCTGAGGATAATGGCTTCCAGCTTCATCTATGTCCCTGCAAAGGACATGATTGTGTTCCTTTTTATGGCTGCATAGTATTCCATGGTGTGTATGTACCACATTTTCTTTATCCAGTCTATCAGTGATGGGCTTATAGGTTGATTCCATGTCTTTGCTATTGTGACTAGTGTTGCCCTGAACATGTGTGTGCATGTGTTTTTGTAGTAGAACAATTTATATTCTTTTGGGTGTATATCTAGTAATGAGATTGCTGGGTTGAATAGTATTTCTGTTTTTAGGTCTTTGAGGAATTGACACACTGTTTTCCACAATGGTTGAACTAATTTACAGTCTCATCAACTGTGTAAAAGCATTCCTTTTTCTCCACTACCTCACCAGCATCTGTTGTTTTCTGACTTTTTAATAATAGTTATTCTGCTGGTGTGAGATGCTTTCTCATTGTGGTTTTGATTTGCATTTCTCTAATGATCTGTGATGTTGAGCTTTTTTTTTTTTTCATTTGTTTGTTGGCCACATGTATGTCTTGTTTTGAGGAGTGTCTCTTCATGTCTTTTGCCCACTTTTAATGGAGTTATTTGTTTTTTTTCTTTGTAAATTTGTTTAAGTTCCTTGTAGATGCTGGATATTAGACCTTTGTCAG
The DNA here is from genome assembly GCF_000001405.40 of Homo sapiens. NCBI lineage: Eukaryota > Metazoa > Chordata > Mammalia > Primates > Hominidae > Homo > Homo sapiens. Next base: position 71,069,487 of record NC_000013.11, read on the forward strand.
ATTGATAGGTTGTAAAAGTTTTCTCCCATTCTGTAGGTTGTCTGTTTACTCTGATGATAGTTTCTTTTGCTGTGCAGAAGCCCTTTAGTTTAATTAGATCCCATTTGTCAATTTTGACTTTTGTTGCAATTGTTTTTGACATCTTCATCATGAAATCTTTGCCTGTGCTTATGTTCTGAATGGTATTGCCTAGGTTTTCTTCTAGGGTTTTTAGGTTTTTATAGTTTTAGGGTCTTTTTTTTTTTTTTTTTTTTTTTTGACGGAGTTTCGCTCTTGTTGCCCAGGCTGGAGTGCAGTGGCATGATCTCGGCTCACCGCAACCTCCACCTCCCAGGTTAAGCAATTCTCCTGCCTCAGCCTCCCCAGTAGCTGGGATTACAGGCGCCTGCCACCACACCTGGCTAATTTTGTATTTTTTTTAGTAGAGACGGGGTTTCTCCATATTAGTCAGGCTGGTCTTGAACTCCCGACCTCAGGTGATCTGTATTTAAGTCTTTAATCCATCTTGAGTTGATTTTTGTATATGGTGAAAGGAAGGGGTCCAGTTTCAATTTTCTGCATATAGCTTGCCAGTTCTCTAAGCACCATTTATTAAGTAGGAAATCCTCTCCTGATTGCTTGTTGTTTTCAGGTTTGTCAAATATTGGATGGTTGTAGGTGTGCAGTCTCATTTCTGAGTTCTCTATTCTGTTCCCTTGGTCTATGTGTCTATTCTTGTAATAGTACCATGCTGTTTTGATTACTGTAGAATTGTAGTACAGCTTGAAGTCAGGTAGCATGATACCTCCAGCTTTGTTCTTTTAGCTTAGGATCGTCTTGGCTATTCAGGATTTTTTTTAGTTCCATGTAGAAAACAAAATGTGGAACTACAAACCAAAGTTACAATAATACTACATTTAGATTAAGAATTGATTGTTTTCCTTTAATGTACAAGTATTTTAAATCATTCAGATAACAAAAAGTAGAATTACAAACCAGTGTTACAATAATACTAGGTTTTATAACTACTCATGTATTTACATGTGTTGAGATTTTTATTTCTTCATATGGCTTCAGTTTACTGTCTAGTGTCTTTCCCTTTCACATTGAAGGACTCCCTTGAGCATTTTTTACAGAGCGGATACCTAGTGATAATGACTCACTCAGATTTTGTTTATCTGAAATTTCTTCCTTACTTTTGAAGGACACTTTGCCAGACATAGGAACTTTGGTTGACAGTTTTCTTCATTTAGCTTTTAAATATATTGGCCCACTGTTTTATTACTTCTAGCGTTCTGATGAAAAACTGTTTAAAATCTTATTGAGAATCCCTTATATGTGGCTCGTCATTTCTCTCTTGCTGCTTTCAAATTTCCCTCTGTCTTTCAAACTTTTGATTTTTTTTTTTTTTTTTGAGATGGAATCTCACTCTGTTGCCCAGGCTGGAGTGCAGTGGCGTGAGCTTGACTCACTGCAACCTCTGCCTCCCAGGTTCAAGTGATCTCCTGTCTCAGGCTCCTGAGTGGCTGGGATTACAGGAGTGCATCATCACGCCCAGATAATTTTTGTATTTTTCACAGAGATAGGGTTTCACTATGTTGTCCCAGTTGGTCTCGAACCCCTGACCTCAAGTGATCTGCCTGCCTTGGCCTCCTAAAATGCTGGAATTACAGGCATGAGCCACTGTGCCCGGCTTAATAATTATTTCTTAAAGACAAGTTTAAACAATTGTGTATATGAGTTTCTAGTTGTTTAATTTGGTGTTCCTGAGGGGAGATAACCACTGGAGGATTCTATTCTGCAATCTTGTTTTGCCTCATCTCAATAAACATTTGAATCTTTATTACGTTATTTATTATTACTAAATCTTTAATGACTATTGAATTATTTGAATCTTTATTAAAGGTTAAATTACTTGAATCTTTGTTAGATCCAATGTGGTAACCCTGGAAGTCAGATTTCCCTCATTTCTCCAGGATTTATTTATTTATTTTTTCCTTTTGTTTTTGTATATTGTTTTTGTGAGTTTTGATTGTTGTGGGCTGTCTCTGTACCAAGGATCAGCCTAAGGTGCAAACTTGATGTCTTCTCAGGTCTTTTCTGAGTCGAAAACTTTTCCTGGGCATACACAGTCATTTTCTAATTTTCCTCATATAAGCAGTTGCTTTTGAATGTCTTAGTCTTTATTTTTATCTTCCCAAAAGGGGAAAAGATAAAAATGAAGAGAAGAAAGAATGCAGGCCTTTTAAATCTCCTGGAATTCACTTCAGTTGGAAGAGAAGAGGCTTTCAATAATGGGTATAAATTCAAGACAATGTCTGTCCACATATTTTTTTGCATCTCTGTGACCAACAGCTGAAATTAGTGGTCCGAGCACAGCTCCCAGAGAGTAAAGAGCAGGATCCTTTTTGCCCACCCTGGCTCCTGCAAGTTGTGTACAGGCTGCTTCAGAAACCTGCACAGCTGTCTGCTATGGGACTAGGGGTGGGGGATGGATAGATTATACTGTGCAAAACTTTGTAATTAACCAAAATTAATTATAAATTACCAACCAAGTCTTCCCCTGGATGTGGCAAGACTTCAATAGACTCTAGAACTCCAAAATAGTTATATTAGACAGATTTTAACACTGTCATTGTTTGTTTAGATAAGAAGCAAGATTCCTGGTGCTTCCTATGCCTTCATCTTCCCAGAGATCCCTCTTATGTCAATGACATTTTGAAAATGTTTTTCTGTTAAGTTCTTTTTAATTTTGAGCTTTTTGAGAAACTTGATTTATTTCAGGAATTTATAGGAGTTCTTTTTCTCTTTTAAGTGTAACAAAAGACTGGGATCAAACAGGATGATTTCTATCACTTAGTGACATGAGCAAACTTGACTTTTACATTTTTTCCTGAGAGCATTGAATAAAGTCCGATATTTTGTATGGCTGTGACCTAAACCAAGTTTCCATGAGCAATCATGTGATAAAGAATAACTCAATGAATTTCTTTTTTCATTTTTAATGCTGTACTATTTTATAAATTCTCTTAAAAATAAATTATTTCAGCATACAAAGCACTGGAGTACATGAAAGGCTAATTTTTTCCCTCTACATATATTTTTTCTATGTGCAGAAATCTGTTGAGAAGGAAAAAACTGTATAATGCCTCATGTTCTTTATTCATTACACACACACAAAACCAAAAATGATTGTTAGTCATGAAATTAACTTATTTGTGCAGGGCACATTTAAGCTAATGTAAATCAACATTTTCTAAAGCATATTATCATTACCATTCTCAATAGTTGTAAAGTCCTTTAGAGCTTACAGACTATTTGTGTATACAACTCTGGAAGCATCAGCATTCCCAGTTACAGAGAAATTTAAAGGAAAGCTTGTATGGTTAAGGCTATTGTTTAATCCCCCATAGACTATTGAGAAAAAAGGCTTAAAGAGGTTAAGTGCTCTTATTAAGAACATGAATCTAATTACAAGACAGACAGCTCTAGAACCTAGAGGTTTTGACTCAGATTGCTTGTTCTTGCCTTTATTTTGTACCCCTTTGAATACCAAAAATAATTTAAAAAAATACCATTAGAAATACCTTCATTATGGAGAATAAGTATAGTAAATATATATGGGAAATACGTATGCAAAATGCATGTGTGTGTGTAGATACAGATATAGATGGAGATGTAGATATAGATGTACTTTTTGTTTTTTATTTTGTTTTATTGTAACTTTAGGTTGCAGGAAACCAGTGATGCTCACATCTGCCCCTATGTATAGCATAAACCTGTTTCCTTTTCTAAATCCACTTTTCCAAGTTCACCATGCTAAATCATCATCCCTTTGAAGCTCATGCAAAATCAAACCACTATCAGCATTTGTACTCAGTCTTCTGGTTTTTGTTTGTTTTTTTCATTCTTATCCATTCCTTTGCTTTCTCTTTGTTGTTAATTTCTTTCTCCCTCTTTTTCCAATTTCAAACTTAAACTTGTTTGTAACCTCTTTGTATCAGCAATGATGAGGGAAAAACCAGTTATTTTATTAGAGAAAATTCAGCACACCCCTACTTGATCTGTAGAATATTCTCTAGCTCATATCCTCGCTAATAATTTGAGTATAAAATAAGGGGAAGTCTTTCGAGTGTGGGCCCAACATAAAGCTCTTGGTCCATTCTTAGTAGGGCACAATGTTTTTAAGATAATGCTTCCCAAGCCAGGGTCATAGCTTGCACCTGTAATCCCAGCTACTCCAGAGGCTAAGGCAGGAAGATTGTTTGAGGCCAGGAGTTCAAGACCAGACAGAGCATCATAGCAAAACCTCATTTCTAAAATTATTTTTTAAAATTAGTCAGGCATAGTGACATGCACCTGTAGTCCCAGCCACTCCAAAGGATGTGGAAGAAGGATCCCTTGAGCCTAGGAGTTTGAGGCTGCAGTGAAATGTGATCACTATACTTTGGCCTGGGAAACAGAGTTAGACTCTCTTTCTAAAAAATAATTTTTAAAAAATATAATGCTTTCAGATTCATTGTCCCTTCCTATCACTGTGTAACTTTCAACTTCTCGTTATCCTTGCAAACACAGAGAATTAAGTCTCCTGTAAAAAATAGAGGATTATTTACAGGCATGTATGCTTAAAGAATAAAAGTAGAAGATTCTTTGCATACCTTTATTTTTTAAAAACATTACCATTAGTATTATAATTATCTAAAGTACAAACTTGAAAATTCAAAGTAAAAATCACATGTAATGCTGTGCTATATGTATTTTTTGTCACAAATGGCAGTGTGATAATTCAACCCCCCACATCTGCACTGTTATGCTTCTTATGTCATTCTTGTATCCCAAACCAAAGCGTGTTTGCAATGCATCTTTAGAAAGTGACTTTTTAAAACAAGTTTTCTTTTCTTAAATAAAACTTAGCCCTTCTATGCTGTATGCACATGGAAACTCCCTCCCATGAATAAGAGTTTTCACTAATTTTGTAAAATATGTTACATCCAATTTAGTAAAGCCAGAAATATAGTGTGTTGTGTTTAGCTATTAAGCTGATTTAAGATTCCCAAAGGCAGATTTGGCATTTTATTTATGCTTCTATTCTCAGCTCCTAATACTGTTTTGGCTCCTAATATGGAAACATTCTCTTTTTGAGTGAATAATCTTTAAGTTTGTCATTCATGCCTTTCTTCTCTAATTAATTAAAACTCATCTATATAGATTGTAAAAGTCCTAAGATAAACTGACATTATTTCTAAAGGTGTATAATGAGCACTTGAAAAAAATAATGGTTTATGCACATTGACAGCATATTTTCGAAAACCAAAACCCACAAAGTTGAACTTTTATCTTTTTCAAAAACAATAAAAGATTACTCACTAACTTTACAGGCAAATACAAATTACAGTGAAAGTAGCTAGTATTTTTAAAGTACAAAAGCATCCCCATAGATCACAAAAATATAAAAATCATATAATGAAAGAAACTACATATTTCTTTTTCTGCATAAGAAAAGAAAAATTAGGAAATCAATGACATAATTAATTAATTGTCATAATATAAAGAAAATCTAGGCTCACATAGTATTTATAGAGTTATTCTTCAGCATTTTATCTGAGTTTGTAACATTTAAACTTTCACTACCTCCCTACCGAAATGTATAGAAGTATTCAAAGCAAGTCACCTTCAAGAATGAGGTGTCGTGAATTAACTGTTTTAGAATTTACTACAAATATATTTCTAGCCTAACTTTTGGCACGGAGTGTAAAAGTAATACAGCTCATACAAACTCACTTGGGGCTCTGGTTGTCATTCCCATCAAGGGCTTCAGTAAACCTAGAATATACAAGGCACAGTGAATTTTCTCATCACAAGTTCCATTATCAGGGGATACTACACACTGATATCTGCCACTTGGAGAACGTATATCCCCTTTTCTTCCCCAAACTTTCTCTTTCTTTAGTGCCAAATTTTGTATTTCTTTAGTTTTCTTCTCAGGACCCACCTTGGACTGTTGGTTACGATGCTAGGAAGACTCAAGAAGCTCCTGCTAAAGTTTTCTTGCAAGTGAAACACAAGTGACATGAATATTCATGACAATAAATGCTCCTTTTATGCCATTTAGGCTCTGCCAGTAATTTGTTCTCTCTTGGTACTTTAGTAGAATGCTGTTTTGTTCTCTGTTAATTCTATTTCTCTTGTTGCAGACAACTAATTCCCTTAGAATCTTTTTGTTTGTTTCTTTGCTTTTCACTTTTGTTTGTCATTTAAGAAAACTGGAGCTTAGTGACTTCAGTAGCCCTTGATTTTACCATATTTATGCAGACTTGATTTTCTGGAAATGTGATCTTATTAGAAGAAGATGGCACATAAAACACCAATGAATCTATTCCAGTTGACTTCCTTTTTTACTTGTATAAATATTACCTATCAGTTCCTAGTCTCTTCGTCTCTGTCTGCCTTTACCTCTTTCTCTCCCTCTATCTTTCTGATTCTTGCCCACTTTATCATTATGTTACTTATTATATGACAAAACGTGTAGATAGCATGAATTTAGAAGTATGCAAAATTTATTGACTGCTGTATTTTATTATTAAAAGACACAAACATGATAATAATGGTTTTCAAAGTATTGTGCTTGTTATGATTTTCCAAAAAAAGGAAATATATATGAAATGGAATATTACTTAGTAAAACATGTAAAATTATTTTTGAGGTACTTTTAAACAATGTCATGTTATTATATTACTTTTTCTTTAATTAGCCCATAAGAATTATAGTACATAAAATTTTTAAAAAAATAACTGTGCATCCTGAATGTTATTGCTTTCTCCTAAAAATAGATTGAGTAAATTAATAACATGTTGGGGACATTTTATGCCTACATGTTTAAATAGGTTTGCAACTAATTGCATTACTGATTATTTTCTATATCCTTTTACATAAATTTTTTTATCTATAGTTTTTAAAAGCAAATCAAAATTGTAACATTGCCATGTTATTAACAAGGTCAAATACATAATTAACATTTGTATAGTATATATTGCTATGTAATGAAGTTGTGTTAACACCATTTAAGAAGGCTATAGACTGGAGGACTTGAAGCTGATAGATGAGAACACAGAATTTAAAAGCGTACAATCTGCAAATGAAAGGTTTTGCAAAATGCCAATTTAATATTCAGTTCAATAATATGGTCACAAATATTGCAATTAAGTGCATATACAGAAAATCAATTATTCTAATTTTCAACTTTCAAACATTAATGTAAAAATGGCATGTTGCAGATGAAAAGGTGTAGTTTTCTCACTTGTTATTTTGATGTTAAATTACAACCTTAAACTTCCTGATCCTTCCACCCTTGCATAAGTATTTTCTATAAATTAATAGAAATATTAATTAGTTAAATTGCAGATTGATTTTTGTAAGAATAACAACAGAGAAAATAATAATTTTTAACCTTGAATTATCTGTGGATCACTGAGCAGACTAAATTTATGAGCAAAAGAAAACTTATATTAAATTTAGGTGAGAAAGTAGAAAGAGGAAATTAATATGTTGTCAAATAATAACACAGCATAATTCTTCTGCCTAAAATATGTGTTGAAAATATGTGCAAAGGGTATTTATCTCTTGTTCTATAACCCTTACCCCAGAAAATGACATAAATATTCACTTAGAAGTCTGTATTTTATCTTTGATTACTTTTTCTACTTCATCTGCACCCCACAAGTAAGCTCTATTACCCAATCATCTAATCCTTACAGGTCTTTCTCTCACTTTTTCCATTCTGTTGCAATGACTCTCATACAATTTTTCACTGTTTCAAATATGCATTAATGAGAAAGCTTAAAATTGTTTTTCTGGTCAGCAAGTTTTCTATAATCTTATCTTTTGACCTGCTGAATAATATCCAGAGATATTGTCTGTTTGTGAAATCGCTTAACACTTTTCACAGATATGTTGGTTGCCCTTAAGAGAAACATAAACCCATCCCATTTGGCCACTAGTTCCCTTCAGGTCCTCTCACAGCTGTATGAATCAGGTCCCATCTCTGACAGACACCATTTTTCATACCTGTTTCAGAGCTGTATTTAAAATGAGGACTTCTTTCTTTTCCAGATCCTCGTGACCTAAGGATGATTGACTTGGGGAACTAGAAAGAAGTCAATCAACCTTCCAAAAATATCTATCCTCCACCTACTATGTATAAGATACTAAGTAAACAAATATAGAAGACAAAAATCCTCCCGAAGTAGCAGCTACCATCTAATAAGTGCTTGCTTTCTGCTGGGCTTATGTTTACAGCATTCTACATTCAGTGTTGTACTATGTCCTAACAATTTCTGAACAATTCTCATTAGCCTTCTTTTACAAATGAACTATTAGAGACTTTAAATATTTTTATGTTATTCAACTAAAACAGGGCAAAGCCATTTGAAAGTGCAAGTACAATTTGTGAATGCAAAAACTCTAGACATTTTAGTTTGTTGCCCAGCTCATGGTCTCTGCTCAACAGTGTATGACTGAGAGAATGCAGATCACTATGCTTCCTCTCTTTAGCACCAGCCTTCAAGGAGTTTACAGTCTATGAATGTGACAGGGCTAACACAGGAAGAGATTAGTTAGCATTTCCTTCAGCGTATATTTATTGAATGCCCACTGTGTTGTACACAGTTATTAGGCACACTGCATATGCAGCAGTAAAGATAGATTACATATATATAAGATAGATGATAGACAGATGGATGAATGGATGGATAGAAAAGTGATTGCCTTCATGGAGCTTACAATCTGGTAAAAATAGAGAAAATAAGTATATTATATCAAATACTAGAAAGCGATGTTTCCAATATAGATAAAAATTCAGCATAAGGGGAAGTAGTGTAATAAAAGCTACCAGCAGCAAATGCTATAGGAATGCATACTGCATCATTTAAAGTATTTTAAAGAAACTAAAAGGAAACTTCATTTTTCTGGTTTAAAATTTTTAGAAACTCATAAATATAAATTTCTTTTCTATGTATGTCAGGTAAAATATACTACTTACTTTTAAGATATGATGTTATTTGTGTATATTTATTGGGGTCATTTTTATTATTTTATTTTAGTCCTAAATATGTGCAGTCTATTTCATGGGTAATTGATATTTGATGGTGAGCATACATTCAAACAGTTTTTGATTCAGAATGATTTTACATGTAACTTAGATTTCGCTCAAAATTCCTTTCAGAAAAACAGTATGGATGCAGGAAATATTTAGAATTTGGTTCTCTGCAAATTTTCAGGGTAATGAAAAACATATGTATTTGCATAAATCCAGTTCCAGATATTTCATCTCTCTGCACAGTTTGGTATCTCATTTATTTAGAGACTAGAAAGAAGAAAACGTGACCTTAAAGTATACCTAACATTTGGAACTTGTGATTTCATGGGATGAATAAGTCCAAAATTCTATCTCCTTGAAATTTGTTTCCAGAATGTTAACTGCAAAGCAAGTTATATATAGCAGTAAATGCATGCTTAATTTGTGCAGAAATCATGGTGTGATGAATACAATTAAGAGCCTCGGAGGGAATAATTATATTACTGCATAAAGCTAGTGGTTCTCAAATTGCTTGGTGCCTGGACTTTAAATTGGCCTGATTTCCTGTTGTGAAAGTCATCCATCGCAGCAACACAACTGCAGCAGAAATGGCGTAGTTTCAAAGTCACAAAGAAAGCATATTCTTTCTGATCAATTGCCATATATTCTTGTTTAAAGGCAAAGAAATTGGCAACAGGCATACCAAAGTTGATTAAACTGATAAATTAAAATTCATTAGATCAAGTACATTGTTTTGTCTGTTATTCAGAAGAGAGTTTTTTTTTTTAACAAGATTGACTAAGCTGCTTATAATTGTAGGTTTTTAAGTACCTACACATAAAAAATTTACCTGGATTGTTTAAAGTAAATAACATTTATTTCATGATCCCTAGATTATTAGTGCCTTGAAATAAATAGATGGAATTTTAGGGTATATCTTTCAGGAATATAATCATTTATAGTAAAATCTGAATGTAACTGTTTAGTCTTGTATAAAAACTCCATATTATATTGGAATTATCCATTGCTAAATGTTATATCATATCATATATGTTTAGCTTTGTCTGACTGAGGAAGCATTATTTGATCTTAAATAATTGTGCATTTCTTAATAAATATGCAATGAATACATTTTAGTACTAAAAATATACTATTATCTTACATTAAGGTTTTTATATCTAGGACATAAAATAACAATTTCTGATCTATGATAGTCAAACAACAAGGAAAAGATAACAGAATATGGATCACAGTCATTTAACTACTGATGAGGTTAGAGCTACTGTCTTGAAAAAGCTTAAGTGAAACTAGAAAGTAATGGTTTTTGGCAAGAGGTTAAAGAGGTAAGGGAAGCATTTTCAGCCAAGATAAACAGATTATTTAAGAATCCAGAAAAACCATGGAAACCCCTTAGAAAACTTCTAGTTCAGGGATGCAGTATTCCCACAGGCCCATGACAGCCATTACTCACCATCCACAGTACTCCTGATGGCTCATTTCATGCAGAAGTGAACTTAGAATCGCATATGGCACCAGGAAGCAATTACTAATTGATTGTTGCTTGCAATCACTATGCTTCTAGTTGCAGTTCATGACCTACCCGAACTGAAGAGGAGACTGAGGCCTGGAGAAGCTGCATGATTTACCAAATACTTGACTGCTCAAAAACGGAAGAACTGTGGCTAGAAAGCCATCTCTCAGAGCTAGCACAATTCTAGTTTTCTTGCTAATGCTATGATATTCTTGCCAATAAGTGAGGTTGTTTGTCCAAATATATTGTTCTGCCATTTTGATCTCTATGGATCATCCAGAGAAATTTAAATACCTCATATTCTATTTCTTTATCTTTTATTCTTTATTTTTTATTCATTCTTTTATTCCTTCATTCAACTTTTTTTTTTTTTTTTTTTGGTGAATGCCAATATAGACAATGCTAGATGCTGGGGTAATTACATGAGTAATTTGTGGACACTACTTGGAACACAGCTAAGAACAAAACATGGCTAGAGGTCCTATCTTTATTATACACCTAATAGATTTTGGTTCATGTTCAAAATGTAGAGATGACAAAACTGGAAAACTTGGAGCAATTCTTGTCCAATGAAAAGCAGGAAGTTGAATATGAATAGACACAAGACTGTTGATTCAAGTAATCTAATTTGGGCTTCTCTTCATCGTCTTTGAAAACCCTAGAGAGTTTGCTAATAGAGCTGATAACAAAAAATAGACATGAAATTAAGTTTTCTTTCTCTTTTTCAAATGTATTTTAAGTTCTACCTCATTTTGATCTACCGTGTTAGCACACATGAACATAAACATGATCAAGAACCTTTTTTATTTTTTTAATTTATTAATTTTTTTTTTTTTTGAGACAGAGTCTCTCTGTCACCTGTGCTGAAGTGATGCAAAGCAGTGGAGCGATCATAGCTCACGGCAGCCTGGACTTCCTGGGCTCAAGAAATCCTCAGCCTTTAGAGTAGTTACAACTACAGGCACACATCACTGTGCCTGGCAAACACAATCTATAATCTTAAAATAAAGATGATACTGACCTATCTGGGGGAAAAATTGAAGGGGGGAAGAACCAATTTAATTCGTAACAGCTTTGAATTCATACTAGATTGGCAAGTATATCTTATCACTGATGTACCACGTTTCTGATTCCACTTTCTAAATTTAGCAATGTATTCCTTGGCCAAGAATATGCTATATAGTTTAAATGGAGATTTAGACCTTGGATTTGGTCACATTCATATTATTTCTCTAATTAGATGAGCACACTTGTTTACATTTTAAGAGATAATATGTAGGTCTATTTATTCTTAGTTATTTGAGTTAAAAACCACTTAAATTAATAGGAGGACCACTAATGCTCAGCATACACTTGAATTTACAAGTACAACAATAATTATGATATTCTCCATAAAAAGCTTTATCTGTTTTACTTATTTTATTATTGCAAAATAGTATTGTTATTATCCTTAATTATCTGGACACTGGCACATATTTAAAGGAAAGAAAATTGATCTGGTAGACATAAATGAATAAATAAACAAACACACAAATACATAAATTCTATTACTGAGCAGAGAACCTAAAAGTAATAGGAATCCAACTGATCTCCAAAATGGAAGGAAGCAGAAGTACATTTGTATTTTATAATTTCATTCTTTTCCTTTTATCAATTAGTATCTGGTTGTTGCCCTTAATAAAACTGATAGCAAAATATAAATGGTACGTAAGTGTAATTATGTCAAAAACAGTAAACACTTGGACAGCAAAAGTGTCCATACTTAATCTTTGAATAAGTTTCAGCAGTTTCTTAATGACTTAAACATAACAGATCATTAAGTAGGATCTCTTGGGATAAATTGTATTTTTTAATACACAACTTTCTGAACTTCAGATTATCTAATAGCAGATACATGTATCTGGTATTATAAAATTGAACCTTATGCTTTCACTACCAAATATTTAGTTATACTTACAAAACGAGTTGAAGATGTATCACCAAAGGACAGTCTTATAGCCAATCTCAGACATTTAGATACACAGATAAAATATTCCTGTAAAATACTACGACTTAAATCCTGAACAGTAAAATAGAATTATTTAATATATACAGGTATGTTTTGCATATATATTATATATATATAATATATATATTTTTTCATATGTACTTTTTCCTTGTCCAAACAGAAATACTCTTTTAAAAAATAAGGATTATAAAATCATTTCAGATAAACAAGCATATTATTCTGTTGGGTGTCAATATTAACTTATGCCTTGTCCATTTAGTCTCTGATTTATTCAATGTTTTCCAATTGATGTGTTCTTCCCTATGGAGACTATATACATAATAGTCAAATACTAGGATTCCAAAGCTTGTGAGTCTTACAGCTTTCTATAAATATTGGAGTGCAAAGAACAGAAGCTTCCACTTAAGATGTCTGTACCCACAAGAAGTTATACTGGAGAGTGGTCTTATAGAACCCTGCTTTCCTCCAAGACACCAACACAAAATATTCCATTACAAACTTTATAATGGATAAACATCTTAATGGATGTGATCACTGACCTGGAGGAATATTGAGTACCAGTCAAATCTGGTTTTGAGTTTTAAAATTAATAAACATTTATTATAAATATTATTTTATAATATATACAGCATTTAGGTAAGGGCACTGTGTTCCCCTTTGCAAAACTCGGCTTGCCTTCATTTTTCTGGATTGCATTACAAGACCCAGATGCTGAGCTGAGAAAATTTTCTTTCCAGCAATAGCATCTGGCTCCTTGGCAGCCTGTGTTTGCCCTTGTGTTGGCTGCATAACAGTTGTCTTCAGGCTGTGAAATGGTTAGGATGCTGATGTGATATCTTATTCACTTGGATGTTATTCTTTTTAGCTTTCTTATGTTATCTCCACCTGAAACATTTTTCAAACTTGCAATCTTTTATAAACAAAATTTGTTGGGAAGCATGATTGATATGTGATATAACATTCCATATCAAAATTTTGAAATTATTTTTGTCTACATAAGATGTGCCAGCCAGATGAGACAAATCTCACATTTCTCCTCTTGTAGTTTAAGAAAATAAAATATTTTTGCCTTGTTCCTTATTTCTGTCTATATAAACATATATAACTTTGACCCTTTATAATTTTTCTTTTTTAAATTATAACAATACTAATTAAAACTACTGCTACTAACTACTATTTACAGAATGTTTCTATCCTACATAAAATTTTTAAATTTCATGTCATTTAGTCTTCACAAGATTTTACCATGTCCAACACATTCTTCACTTACAAATGAAACAAATTTGTAAGATTTGTAGTATCTAATCAAGAGGCTATTCAGGAAGAAAGGTGGTCATTATCAAAGGGAGCATAGTAGAAATTGGTTCTAGAGCAGGGACTTTACATTTTTTTCAGTATGTCAGTTACTCCAGTCAGAGTTTAATACCAGCTTCCCTTCCTCACCTTATTTCCATCTCTCCCATGTGCCTTCGGATCTAGCCTCATGGGAGCAATCATGCCTGATTTGTGCAGCTGCCATTCCAATAAGTAGTGCGCCCGTCCTCACTCTCTCTGTTTGCATTCTTCCATTAAATAAAAGCCAACTTACACCTCAACTTCCAATAAAGAAGAGGGATGTCTGGAAATGAAAAGGTATGGGAAATGTCTCCTCTACAGGTCTAAAATGGGACATTGACAGTTCTACAACCAGATATTCACTGAGCATTTATTGTATGCCAAGCATTCCTTGGAGAACTTTGCATGTATTAATTTATTCCATCCTCACAAAACCGTATGGCATAGACATTATTAGGAGGCCTGTTTTATCAGTGAGTAAACTGAGATATAGCATAGTTATGTCCCTTCCAATGAAATGCAATAGTGAACATTAGAGACAGATATTAACCAAGTCACCAAGCATCTGCAGCCCGCTCTGTTAACATCTGCACCATGTGCCTCCTCATTCACTCCTTGGTTCCCCAGAAGTACTTAAAATCTTGGCTATAGAGGATGGTAAAAATTTCTTTTAGCTACTCTGATTATCTGTAGTTCAGAGACAATTTGTGGATCTTATTCTAGATAACCTACATTTTTAAACATCACAGTTTCCCTAATAGTGTCTTTTAAATATTTTTAGATTATAGATAATATACCAAATAGAATTTGTATTATTTTTCTTTCCTTCTCTCTGAGTCGATCTATTTATAGATGCAAACAGGTACATGTGTGTATATATATATATGCATATAGACATATATATGCATATATAGACATGTATATCTATAAACATACATGTATTCATATACACACATATATATAGAGGAGAGAATTCTGCTTCTTCTTTGGTACATGTTTTGAATGACTTTTGTTTGTCAACATAATCAACATCATTATTCTTTCCTAAATATTTCATTCTCAAGATACAACTTTTTTACATTAAATAAAATTAACTTTTAATGGCCTTGTGGTGTAGAGGAGCTACAACATGTGTCCTTATTACCAGAAATGACTATTTTCAAGAGGGGACCAAACACTGCAGAGAGAAAAGTTTCCCTGTGACACCTGCAAAATATCTAAATTATGTATGAAACAATGTTGCAGAGCTGTTAAATATTATTTATGTCATTGTACTCCAGATAGAAAATTATTTTACCAAGCCACTTATTTTATTTTCCTAAAAAAGTGCAAAATTAACATTGCCTTTTGCAATATTAAAATAACTGAGTGTTTTTTTCTGGGCTAGACTGTGCTGAATAATTGCCTCAGATATCCACTTAATTTTGAATAGCTTTCACGGCCTTACTTTCGTGAGTTGTCTTAAATCTCAAAGAAGTGAATACCAATGACAACTGGCAAAACATATTTACAGCACTTGACACAAAGTTAATACCTTCAATTTACAAAGAGCCCATACAAATTTAAAATGAAAGAATGATCGAATCAATAAAAAAATCATCCAAGGGTAGGAACTTGCAGTTCACAAAAAAAAGATAAACAGCTCATAAATTTATGAAAAACTACTTATATTTATATGGTATGTGTATGTACAATTTATAAATATTTGTATTCTATTCATTACACTGTTATTAGGAATAGCAAAGCAAAACAATGGAAATACCTACAGTGTCTACGGAGAGATACTTAGATGATTATCTAAATAATTTATGGCACTGTATATAATGGAATAGTCTGTAAACATTGGAAACACTGAAGACCAAAATATGAAAAAAACCTCCACAAGTGTTAGGTAAAAAATGCAAAGATCTATGCAGTATCTATATTGTGCTCACTTTTGTGTTCATAAAGAACTTAGATGACAACATATACCTATACATGCATACACATAGTAGAGTGTATAACTATTCTTTATAAGGAAACACAATACTGCAGTTTGTGATATAAGCTGAGGCCCCATTATATAATATCTTTCCTGAAAATATTGCAAAAGAATCAGATATATTAAAAAAGAAAGAGCTTTGAATATTATTGGAAGCCAAAAACCTCTGGCTTTTCCAACATGAAGCTTATGTTTTAACTAATTTGTGTTCACTGGGCATTAAAAATTAAAAGATAGCAGTATAAAGGAATATCTGATATCCAAATCTAGGAAAGAAATATCTAAGTTAGGACATAAGCAAAATTAGTCATCAACTAGCTAAAAGCTTTGAGTAATAAACAATGTCTCTGGGACTCAGTTTATTTACTTTTTCACTGTAAATGAGGCTGAATAAACTGATCAGCAAGTTCTCCATTGTAAGCACTGTGGGCTGGTTCAGGAAAGTTAAAGTTCACATGTAAGAGAGATTTGTCCCAGCCTTCAGTGTGAGTGTGATGTAGATGGGCAGAGATGAGCTAAGAGAGCAATCTCAGTACAAGAAAGAATTTGACATAAGTTCAGAATCTGTAAGTTAAAGGGTGTACTTTATAAATAGAAGTTGGTACTTATAAAAGAAGCTTTAGAGGGACAAATTAGAACATTGAAATGAAGGTAAAGAGCATCTGTACTCCTGCTTGGCCTTTGAATTATAATATTATAAAACTTTCCAGATAAAAGAAACCTTATGAAAAGTGTTTATTTGTGTCCTTTCCCCAGTTTTTAATGTTTTTTTTTTTTGTAAGTTTGTTTAAGTTCCTTATAGAGGCTGGATATCAGACCTTTGTCAGATGCATACTTCGCAAAATTAGGTTGTCTTTTCACTCTCTTGATAGTTTCCTTTGCTGTGCAGAAGTTCTTTGGTTTAATTAGCTCCGATTTGTCAATTTTTGCTTTTGTTGCAATGGCTTTTGGTGTCTTTATCATGAAATCTTTGCCTATTGTTATGTCCAAAATGGTATTGCCTGTGTTGTCATCCAGGGATTTTTAGAGTTTTTAGTTTTAGATTGAAATCACTAGTCAATCTTGAGTTAATGTTGTATATGGTGTAAGGAAGGGGTTCAGTTTCAATCTTCTGCATGTGGCTGGCCATTTCTCCCAGCAGCATTTATTGAATAAGGAATCCTTTCCCAATTACTTGTTTTTGTCAGGTTTGTCAAAGACAATTTTCAAAAGAAGACTTACATGCAGCCAAAAAGTATATACAAAAAAGCTTAATATCACTGATCATTACAGAAATGCAAATCAAAACCACAAAGAGATACCACCTCACACCAGTCAGAATGGCTATTAGTAAAAAGTAAAAAAACAACAGATGCTGGTGAGATTGTGGAGAAAAACGTATGGTTTTACACTTTTGGTGGGAATGTAAATTAGTTCAACCATTATGGAAGACAGTGTGGTGATTCCTCAAAGACCTAATATCAGAAATACCATTCAACCCAGCAATCCCATTACTGGGTATATACCCAAAGGAATATAAATTGTTCTACCATAAAAAAAACACATAAACAGGTATGTTAATTGCAGCACTAGTCACAATGGCAAAGACATGGAATCAACCTAAATGTTCATCACTGGTAGACTAGGTGAATAAAATGTGGTATATATACATCATGGCATACTATGCACCCATTAAAAGGAATGAGATCATGTCCTTTGCAGAAACATGGATGGAGCTGGAGGCCATTATCCTTGGCAAGCTGACACAGGAACAGAAAACCAAGTAGCACATGTTCTCACTTTTATACATGGAAGCTAAATGATGAGAACACATGGACGAACAGAGGGGAACAACACACACTGGGCCCTGTTGGAGGATGGAGGGTGGGAGGACGGAGAGGATCAGGAAAAATAACTAATGGGTACTAGGCTTAATACATGGATAATGAAATAGTCTCTACAACAAACCCCCAAGACACAAGTTTACCTATGTAACAAAGCTGCACATGTACCCCTGAACTTAAAATAAAAGCTAAGAAAAGGATATAGCAATAAATAAATTTCAACAAATAAAAGCAATAATAAGTTTCAACAAATAAAAAAATAAACCTTATGCAGCCCACCATGCCCAAGCCCCCCACCCCCCCCCCCCGCCCGCGCAGTGGGCTCCCGCTCGGCCCTAGCCTCCCCAATGGGCGCTGCCCCCTGCTCTGTGGCGCCTGGTCCCATCGACCGCCCAAGGGCTGAGGAGTGCAGATGCACGGCGCAGGACTGGCAGGCAGCTCTGCCCGAAGCCCTGGTGCGGGATCCACTAGGTGAAGACAGCTGGACTCCTGAGTCGGGTGGGGACTTGGAGAACTTTTATGTCTAGGCTGGAGAACTGTACATGCATCAATCATCATTCTGTGTCTAGCTCGGGGTTCGTGGATGCACAAATCAGCACTCTGTATCTAGCTAATCTGGTGGGGACTTGGAGAACTTTTATGTCTAGCTAAAGGATTGTAAATATACCAATCAGCACTCTGTGTCTAGCTCAAGGTTTGTAAATGCACCCATCAGCACTCTGTGTCTAGCTCAAGGTTTGTAAATGCACCAATCAGCACCCTGTGTCTAGCCCAAGGTTTGTAAACACCAATCAGTGCTCTGTGTCTAGTTCATCTAGTGGGGACTTGGAGAACTTTTATGTCTAGCTAAAGGATTGTAAATGCACCAATCCGTGCTCTGTGTCTAGCTCAAGGTTTGTAAATGCACCAATCAGTGCTCTGTGTCTAGCTAATCTAGTGGGGACTTGGAGAACTTTTGTGTCTAGCTAAAGGATTGTAAATGCACCAATCAGCACTCTGTGTCTAGCTCAAGGTTTGTAAATGCACCAGTCAGCACCCTGTCAAAATGGACCAATCAGCAGGATGTGGGTGGGGTCAAATAAGGGAATAAAAGCAGGCTGTCCAAGCCACCAGCAGCAACCTGCTTGGTGACAGCTTTGTTCTTTTGCTCTTAGCAGTAAATCTTGCTGCTGCTCACTCTTTGGTCCATGCTGCCTGAGCTGTAACACTCACCAGGAAGGTCTGCAGCTTCACTCCTGAAGCCAGCAATACCATGAACCCACTAGGAGGAATGAACAACTCGAGATGCGCCGTCTTTAAGAGCTGTAACACTCACCGTGAAGGTCTGCAGCTTCACTCCTGAAGTCAGCGAGACCATGAACCCACCAGAAGGAAGAAACTCCAGACACATCTGAACATCTGAAGGAACAAACTCCGGACACACCATCTCTAAGAACTGTAACACTCACTGCGAGGGTCCGCGGCTTCATTCTTGAAGTCAGCGAGACCAAGAACCCACCAATTCCAGACACACTTACAGATGATTGAATTCAATCTTTCATTAAGGAACAACAGATAAAGTTTAAATGTACATATTTATTATACTATGAATAATTTGTATCTAAGAATTTATTCAGTGCCATATCTCTAGCCCATCTTTAGGTGTAATGCTTGTACAAAGAGGCCACTGATTGAGTGGTTGTTGAATTAAATCGTTCATGAAACAACTATGTATTGAGTGTCTACTGTGTGCCTGGTACTATTATAAAATCTGGAGATCATCCAATAAGCCAAGCAGACAAATTACATGCCTCATGGAATTTATATTTTAAGAAGGAAGATAAGAAAATAAATGACTATGAATTCATGCAAGATTTCTAGGAAGGGCTTGGAGAAAATTAAAGCAGGATAAGGGGAAAAAAGCACGTTCTCGTGGGTGGACATTATTTTACATTAAGTGGTCAAAAAAGCCTAACTGATAAGGTTTCATTAGATTAATGAATTGAATGAAGTGATGGAGGCAACAGAGAAAACATCTGGAGTAAGAATGACCCATGCAGAGGAAATTGCAAAAGCTGAAGCTGGAGTGCGCTTGGCACGTTCAAGGGCCAGCAAGAAAGCTACTGTGAATGGAGCCAAGTGAATGGGAAAGACAAGAGTTGAAGATGAGTTCACAGATTTACTCAGGCCCAGATCATGTAGAACCTGGTGGGCTGCTGGAAAAACTTTGGATTTTGAATTAATTGTCTAAGGTCATAGAAATAACTAATGGAATAACTCCAAACCAGCACTGTTGATTTTTTCTGAACGATTATTATTTAAAATAACTAGCAGGCTTTATCCAAGAAGATACAAATTATGTCACCTACTATGTTATTCATTTTGCCCTAAATACTAGAAACCTGGGAACAAACTTAGTGTTTAATAACAATAATTGGCTTATTTCTCTTGGTTAACATATGCATTGCTGATTCCTTTACATGGCTTGATTTTTCTATGCTTTTCTTAACAGATAGATACTTTTTATTATTTGAGTCACTTGACTCATTTTGGAAAAGGTGTGGTGTAAACAAGTTAATCCTTTAGGAGAAATAACACTAGCAAACAAAGGAAACAAATGTCAGGAATTGTCTTTAAAGTAACATTTCACTTGTGTGATCTTAAAAGTTTCATATCAATGTGTCTATTTAAGTGGATGTCACCTCACAGTCAAATGGAGATTTTTTTTACAACATCGTGATTTACAGAGCATCTACTGATGCTAGAGGAATTCAGGCATGATCAGTACCTTTGTTAGGTTGATGACAGGACAACTCGACCAACATGGTAACCACTTCCTTACATGGCCCAGATACAGGAAGAGGATGAGTAGCAAAAAAACTCCATTTTATTAAAATTGAAGTCAGATTTTAGAAAAATAGGCTTAGGTTAAATAATCTTCTTTTTCCCCCAACTAAAGCCTAAAGAATTCACCATAATCGTAAACTTGATGCCAAGAACAAGACTTGCCTTTGCAGTTTTCACTGCTATCATCTTCTATTTTGTAAGAGTTTCTGCTGGAATATTAATATGCCATTCTTCCTTTTCAGTGGCCAAATTAAAAAAAGCTGTTTTGTAAGAAAAAAAAATCAAAGAAAGAAAGAATAATGTGATGAAAATAACGTTTTACAAATATTTGATTCTTGAATAATTTTGGAAATGTTGCTTATAACATTTGCTTATAATATGCTCAGGTTTCAGCTCCTCTCTCTTCTCTCAGGAATAAAGCATTTTTACTACTCATTTCTTTCCTGGGCCCCTACCAGTCCTTTCCTAGGAAGAATCACAGGTTTAGGCTTGTCCCCCAGAATGACTTAATTTCTTATCTCCCATTTTCCTAAACCAAGAATTGCTTCAAAGAAGCATAAGTGAATCTCCAGGGCATAACATTAACATTTTGGGCTCTATTAAAATGTTTAAAAAATTAATAAAACATAAAAAATCATAATGCAAATTTTGATATTCTGGGAAGAAAGACAAAGAACAATGCAAAAATGATGTCTACATTTTAAGTCAACAGAGTATACATGTTTTCCTAGAGGCTCTATAGTTTTCATGGCCAGTTTAGTAATCATGCGAAGTACTTAGTTAGAAGGAATGATTATTATATCATCATAAGCATGTTAATAATACAAACAGCAAATTACAGCAATCTCTGTAATTATATGTACAGTCCCTATTAAAAATTTACATGCCTTCATCTGATTATGCTCAGGATAGAAACTACTTTCATACTACCAAAGGAAAAATGCATTTCAAGCTAAAATTAGTCTAACCAAATTCAATAGAAATAGTTAGAATATCCCATGGCCTACAAGCTATATTTCATATTAAACATGCTTCACCATTTAGGTACACAATAAGAGAAACGATTCAGCTGCTAGGAGAGAAACAGATGGTGAAAGGTACCTGCTGACCAAACAGGAGCAGCAGGGTGGAATCAGGGTGGGTCAGCTCATCTGGAAAGGATGCTTGCAATTGTCATTACACACATCAATTGTTTCTGATACTACTGTATGTCATGCAGTGCCCAGGGCCGTATGGCTTTCCTTGAAACATTTAACATAAAACTGCTGAAATATAATTTTGGCCTCATACTCTGAAGTGAGTTGCTAAGTCCTCACAATAAGAAATTAATGTTGCCAGCATTATATTATTTTAATTAAGCATCCTTCTCTTCTGTAAAGATACAGGAGCCTTGTATGATATATTTCCAATTTGTCTGCTAATTTACAAAACCAAAATGATACTGTATTATTGTTATAAAGTTAATCAAGACTTTAATGGGACAGTTATGTTACTATCAAGGAATTTTATTATTTTTTTCTTACTATAATGCATGTGTTCAATGAGCTGATTATGCAGTGTGACAATGATTTCACTAATTACAAAGTTATTACTGTATCTCTAATGGGAAGAAATTCCAGCTTCCTAAGGTGCAGATTTAAATATGGAAATCTAATTTCCAGGGAAAATTAGCCAACAAAAATATATTTACAAACCCATTAAATATTAGTTTCAATTATATATTTATATCAATACACCATTTTGTTTCCAGTCTTTTTGTCACATAGTGTAAATTTTGTTTTGAAAATATAATTATTTCAAGTGATATATACAATTATAACTGTAAAAAGGAGACACCTATAAAATGTAACAATTGGCATTGAAATACTATAGCTAAAAATATATAAAACATCTAAGAGATAACATGGAAATGTGTTGTGTCTCTGTTTCAACAAAAATATATATTTTAAGTTTCTGTTAAAAGAAAAGAAGTTGACAAGCTTCATATTTTAGTTTTCCAATTTTACTTTCTACATATTTCAGATTTTAGAAATTGGCAAAATCTATTAATGGAGGCTTTAATAGATAAAAATAAATAAAACATAAAGTAGAAAGGGAATGGGAAATAACCCACATTCATTTACAGAAAAATCCATACCAATTTAGTTTTTGTTTCATGTTTAATGTTAGTTACTTTTCATTCTCCTCTTGTCATTAAGCTTAGAATGTAATTCCCAAAAGTACAGGGGTTTTCTCAGTTTTATTTATAGGCTGGTATTTGGAAGACACACAATAAATATTTTTTTGAATATTAGGGTTTTTTCTTTTTTTTTCTTAAGATAGGGTCTCATTATGTTGCCCAGGCTGGAGGACAGTACAACCTTGAACTCCTGGTCTCAAAGGATCCTCCTTCCTCAGTCTCCTGAGTAACTGGGACTACATAATCTAATGTTTTGTCAACATTTCTGTATTTTCATATACATGTCCCCAGTTTAAAACAAATTGTTTTTACTTGTCATCTATTATTTTAAAACACTAATTTATTATTAAAAAAAAAGTAATACTAAAAATTAAAAATATAATTAATTTACCAATTATTCCTTTTCGTGAACATATTACTAAATCTGCTATAATTAAGTGTTGGATGGTGAAATATACAAAACATAAAACTGGGCACTATGTTTGTAATGTTAGTCTGGACCTATTGCTTTGGAAAGTAATTAATTCTATAGTACACTACCAATTTCTGGGTCTGTATTACACAACCATTTTCTGGCTGGTTTCCCAGTCCTCCCAGAAATGGTCTCCATTTGATTTATTGCAGAGCCTACCTTTAAACAGTGTATCAGTACATCATTTTGTGTTTTCTTAACAAAGGCATAATATTTATCACTTTTAAAAAAATTAGGCATCAATTATTATACCCCTGCATGGTACTACTCCTGTGGTGTTATAGATAAATCTCAAATTATTAAGTAATTCAAATAACTGAGAAATAATTCTATAAAAAGTGATCGTTTTGGTGAATTATCATCATTAGCTTTATGGCTATGTCGTATCTTCCTTACCATTATTTATTGTTGATCTACTTTTGTTTCATGGGCTTACATGGTAAGGTAAGATGTCTGTTAGCAATATCCTATTCCTGTCCATTTATTTTTGCATTTTTATATTGATATTTGTTTATTTTTATGCTATGTTATTTGCACAAATGTAATTAAGCCAGTTTTAATCACCATTAAGGATGATATACCTGGGCTTTAAAAAGCTTCTGTTCCTGTTATTTGTTTTCCAATTCACTTTTAGTTTTAGTTTCTTTATGGCCCTAATATTAATGTAAGAGTACAAAGCACTCATTGACCATTCACAAAAATTGATTAGATAATAATTTATCATTGCAGAAACCTAGAAATCATAATAAATATTAGAAGAAAATAAAACCCCTGCTACTTGGAAACTGAACGAAAAAGTAACAGCCTTCTTAGATGAAAAAAAAGATATCAATGCTTAAATAAATGAATATTTTAAAAATAACAGTAATAAATTTTATGTGAATACATTAGATATAAACAAAACAATGCTCAGAGGAAAAAAATCACTATCATTTATTAGAAGCTATAAAAAAATTTAACGCAATTGATTAGGTTCACAAAGGCTTTGATCTTTAACACTTAACCTCCAATTTAAATTATAGATAATTCAATACTTAAGTATAAAAAGTAAAGACCATGGGGTATTGTGACATTTTGGTAATAACGTTTGATAATATTTTAAATGCATTTCATTGTCATGCATCTATCAAATGAATTTCATAGATGACAATATATAATATATGTTAGTGTTCTGTGTCACATGAGTACTTGGATACTGCTGAGAGTTTAATACATAGTCACATGTACAGGCATTATCACAGTTTTTAGAAAATAATTCAAAATGCTCATAACTTTTAATCTAATAATTCCTACTTATTGAAATTGCATATATAGGCAATTTATCATCCATTTTTCTTAAATATTAAAAAATTAAATCCACATATTTCAAAACCTGTAATAAAGTCTAGTAGTTATACAAACGCTAATTGTAACAAAACTATCCAATGTGTTATTTATGAAATAATGTTGAATGCAGAACTTAGAAAACATTTATAATAACATTATAATGTAAACTGTTGGTACCTATAATAATTTTATAAAAATATATTAATTTAGACCAAGAGGAAAGTGCTATAGGAGAATGATCATGAAAGTAAAAGGGTGGTACAGTTTTAATTGTTAAGGTTTTCCATGTTATTATGGTACTATTTTGTATGAATATGAATACATTGCTTTAAAAAAAAGTACTGTAATTAGCATTTTCCAGAGAAACAGAATGAGAAGCAGAATAAGATGTTTATATATACATATAGGCAGAGATTTATAGGAAGAAATTGGCTCACATGATTATGGAATCTAGCAAGTCCAAAATCTGCAGGGTGGGCCAGCAAGCTGGAGACTCAGAAGAACCAATGTTTCAGGTAAGTCCAAAGGCTGTTCAGCAAAAGCCTATATTGCAGATGAAGTCCAAATACTATCTGCTTGAAAATTTTCTCTTGCTTGCAAGAAGCCTGTCATTTTTGTTCTATTTAGGCCTTCAACTGCTGGACAAGGCTCACAACATAATGGAGAGAAATCTGTTTTACTCAAAGTCCACTGATTTAAAGTTTAATCTCATTCAAAATGAAGCAGCTACGTTTTCTGGGGTGAATATCCAGGGTTCGTTGTCTCGCACCAAGAAAATTTAGGAGATGGATACACATGAGGAGTTGAGAAGCCGAGGTTTAATAGGCAGAAGAAAGAGAAAGGAGAACAACTCTCTCTTTAGTGAGAGACAGGGGCTTCTGGAAGGGAAAGACGGGCCTCCTGTGGAGTTTGCCAGATTTTATAGGCAGGCTTGAGGAGGTGGTGTCTGATTTAGGTAGGGCTCACAGATTGGTTTGATCAGGTGTGCCATTTACATAGCCTGCATGGAGGGCTGGCCACCCCACCCAATGTTATTATGCAAATGGGCTCTCCACTTGACCAGCACCATCTTGTCTGCTCCTTACCTTACACATGGCTGGCAAGAAGAGAAGATGGAGCCGCCATTTTGAACATGCCTAGTCCCTGGTAGTATTTTTCTGCTGTCATCTATATCTGTGGCTCGATTTTACAGGCTGCTCCTTGTTAGAAAGGAAAATGATTTGGGGCTGCTTTTCATTAAAAGGAAAACCTTACCAAGGACTTCCATACCCTCACTATCTGTCTAAGTCATTTCTTTTTAACTCCTATATCAAAAATACCCTCATAGAAATACCAAGAATAATTTTTGACCAAATATATGGGAAACCCATGGCCTAGGCAAGCTGACGTATAAAATTAATCATCACAGATACTATCTTACCTCAAAGAGAAAACATTTCTCTGTCACTTGAATAATGAAACTTACCCGGAGTGGGCACTCTGGAAGGTCAGGGGTGAGAAGGGAAACAGAACTATGAGAGTATGTCAAGCAGAGATCACAGGATGGCAAGGAATTATATGGAAAATAGGAATTTTAGATGTAGCTTGAAAATTATAATATTAGTATAAACATTTGTCAGAATCCTAGACTGTGTTGAAATACAAGGTAGGTTTTTGTAGAGGAAGAGGATAGATGGTCAGAAGCACGTATTGGGGTTGTTACAGCATGGCACATTGCTTTGAAGAGTAGAAATTCAGGAAGAATGTAGCCACCAGGGAACCAGAGACAACAATGGCTCTGAGGAAATTTAGGGCAGATCCAAGAGCAAATTGTCACTACTGATGTCATGAGCTACTCACCTGAACCTTGCTTTTTTAAGAAAGAATTGGCTCAAGAGTTTGAGACGTGACTTCATCAACATGTGATGGTTATGTGAACAAATTTGAAAAGTCTGAAGATGTTGAATTGAATGACTACCATATAATAAGTGATGGTTCTCACGGACCATTGATGTACAGAAGTTTCTGTATTATTGTTTTGAAAAATGAAGGAAGTAACTGAGTCATAAATCAATGAGAGGTGATCCACCCAATTTTTAACGTTTGAATTGTGATTAAATTCAATGAAGTTGTATTAGTCTGTTCTCATGCTGCTATGAAGAAAAACCCAAGGCTGGGTAATTTAAAACTTATTTTGACCTCTGCAACAATTGTTTCCTTTATCCACTTGTTACAACTATTTTTTTTCTGTAGAAATTTGATTCCCCGCAGTTACTCATCTAGAGATTGTCACAAGTGCCGTTTTGTTTGTGTTTTTGTCATTTTCATAGACAACATTGATACTGTGCTATTTTCCCAAAGATGTTATTTTAATGGACATTTACACTGGTGAATTTGGCAACAACAACACAAACAGCAGAGTTGGGAGAAATGTGGCTGTTTGTATTGAATCTTTTGGCAGAGATACAGGCCTTAGATTTACTATCCCCCACTGCCTCATCTGACTTGTTTTTATTGTTTTTACAACACAGGAAGATGCTTTGGTGTCCATAGGCCAAACTTTAACTTGCCATAACCCCTATCCCAAAGGCCTCTAAGCTTGAGTTTATCCTGATCCTTGATGCTACTGCAAATACTTTAATAAAATCATAATAAAATGGATCTTAAAATACAAGTCACATGCTGCAAATGTTTCCCTTTTCTTGTTCCTGCTTCAATCTGTGCTTTAGGAATGTTTTCAGTGCCAAATCCAGTGCCTTTGGAGTGGGTCCCCAAAGATTTCTGAACTTTCTATTCTAGCTCTTTGAATAAATGAGACGGTTAGAATTGGCAGGATTTAGTCCTCATCTTCGAAGCCTCAGGGAGTGAGAGTACTAGTCTTTTCCTGGTGTTAGCTTTGAAGTTCTTGTTTATTTTTTGTTTAAATAGTGAAGGTTTGGAATTGGAAGATGTATGTTTGATGCCTTATACTACAATTTTCTCAATATAAAATTTAAAAAAATCTTGATGCTTAAAATATCTTTTTTCTCACATATAAGGAGAAAATATTTCTTGTTTAGTTGTTGTGATGACTAAATAGCATATTAGAGGTTTAATGTTTTGAAAACTACAAAGAAGACCAGTTTAAGAGCATGTGAAGTGCTACCAATGTCAATTCCATTATAATTTATAGATAATTGAAACACATATAAAAATAAGCTTAGTTTTCTTGAGCAAAGAGTAGTCGTTAAATAGTACACTTAAAATTAATTAACTTAATAGTCACCTAGTTTCTCTTTATATGTTTGTTATAATTTCTTAAAAATCCAAAGGAAACATAGTCTTTAAAAAAACTCTGGTTCATTTCTGTTATTTCAAAGGGTTTTATGGGAAATATTGTATATATTTGAGAAGAATAAACCACAGTCACACATGGGTGATTGTACCTCCTAACACAGAAGAGCTGTTCAATAAGCTAGATTTATGTCTATAGCATATTTCCAGAAAGGGAGGGGGAAAAAACTTTGATTTATTTGTATGCTAGTTTTGTGTATATTGAAAGAAAAAACATGGCAAATCATAAAACATTTATTGATAAGCAATTTCTCATTCTGAGGGAGAATCAGAAATATGTGGCCAATAATTTTGATATTTGATATTCATTTATTTATAAATTTAGCAGCTATTTCATGTTAATTCCAAAGTGAAATTGAAGTGACTTATCAGCTTCCAAAAATATCTCATATTGCTGGAATATATGCATAACATTTTTATATATTATCTCATTTATTGCAATTTAGTCATTGTGCATTGAATTTTCAAGATAATAAAATAAAGATTCAGTGACTCACTTCATTAGACACTATAGAATTGGTTAATAAAGAAGAAGGAAAGGAAAGTCAGGTCTCTTGATGCAAAGTGTGTCATCCATCACATAACATCACACACAGACACTTAAGAGACAAAATTACCATGCTATCCTTTCAGTATTTGTATTGTTGGTTTAGTCAGTAGTAAATTAGAAATGAAAGACGCAAAGCTCAATCTCTGAGAAGGATAATTTTAAAGAAAAAAAACTTTGTTATGAAGCATCTTAGTAATTAGTTAAAATCAAAATGAACCTTTTGGAGATAGAAAATTAAAATTATGATCCATAGAGTCATCTGTGAAAATATCAAAGACAAATCAACTCTTGCTCTCAAACCCTCTAATCCAATATGGTCCACACCAAAACATCATGAAAGCAGGAAATAGTATGTTTTATTCTATCTCTCTAAGAGCCTAACATATTTCTTTATATCTAGTAGAAGACAGATGTATTAGTCAGGGTTCTCCTTAGAAAAAGCACCAATAAGGGACAGACAGATGATAGATATATTACAGGGATTGGCCCACCCCATTACAGAGGCCAAAATGTCCCACCATCTACCATCTACAAGCTGGAGAACCAGACGAGCTGGTTGCATGATTTAGTCTGAATCTGAATGCCCCAAAATAGGAGTGCTAATATTGGATGCAGCAGAAGATAGATGTTCCAGCTGAAATAGAGAGTAAATTCACCCTTACCCTGCCTTTTTGCTTTATTTGGACCCACAGTGGATTGGAAGATACCTACCAACATTAGTCAGGGCAGATCTTCTTTACTCAGTCTACTGAATCAAATGCTAATCTCTTCCAGAAACATCCTCACAGACACACCCAGAAATAATGTTTTGTCAGATATCTGAGCATCCCTTAGCCTAATCTAGTTGACACATAAAACTAGCCATCATACATATCAATGCATTTCTGAAACTAAATTCAAACACAGCCAAATCTCAGTGATCCAGCCTTATTCTTGACTCAAAATTAACTTTTCTGAAGCATTCAGAAATATAAAAATGCTTAAAAAATCATGTTAAAATACTACATATACAAATATCTCCATGATATATACAGCCTTAAATTTTGCAATTTATCATAATATTAAAGAAATTCCAAGAAAACAGAGACATTTCTTTATTCTGAAAAACAAACAAAAGATATTGAACTCCAAGACAAATTATTATGGAGTTAAATAAAATGCAAATGGTTACTTACATTTATAAATGTAAGTACTCTGAATCTCAGCAATTATAATTCACAAGTCTTAAAAATATTAAAACTTTAATGCAAAATAAATAATGCTATAATGTATCTTAGAAAATTGTAAGAATGCAGTAGATTGCAATAAATATATCTTTGGCTTCTTTCACTTCAGCACTAAGCTAGATGTTAAGGAAACTGTATAGTTTTAGAATTTGTATAAGGTCAACAAGAAGAAATTATAAAAATATAGAGAATGCATCATTGTTAGCACAAAACCAAAACTAACTTTAAGACATTATACAAAGAAGAGTCAATTGTCTTTGGCAGATGTGGATTTTGGAAAAGCCATCCAGGAAGAGAGGACATTGAGCTAGATTCTGCTGGACAAATATGACAGTGCATAACAGTCGTGGAGGAGGAAATTTCCAAAGGGGAACATTATATGATAAGCTAAAGAGTTTGGAAATGCAGATATATTTATGCTGCTCTATACTGCAGGGTCTATATTTTGTATGAGACATAGAAGAGTTCAAAACAAAACGATTTTTCTGTGGTATATTAAGGGTCTTGGATTTTATTCTCAGGACGGTAAGGAATTTATAGTAAGATTTCAACAATAAAAATTATATTATTAAATTTGCATTTCAGAAAGAAAACTGGCAGAAACAGGATGTTTGTTTGCCAAATATGGTGAAGCTGTCAGAGTCTCTGTCAATATGGGTCACTTTAACTGAATAGAGTTTTGCCCATTCCATGCATTGGACTTTATGTAATCAGGAATCAAATATATTGTATTAAACCACTGAAACTTGGAAATGTATCTCTTACAATAGTTAGCACTACTTCTCCATGTAAAGACATTAGTACCTTGAAATTGGGTGGGATTGCAACAGAGATCCGAATACACGACATTGGTTCCATTAGTAAAAAAAAGAAAAACTTGTGTAAGAATTGTTTAGCTTGTTAACAATACAAAGGAATGGCAGAGTTCAGATTTGTGCAGCTTTGCTGGATTAGAAAACAAAAAGCATTCTTTGAGAATCCAAATGATAAAAAAATAAAATTGAGTGAGATTTTTAAGAGAAAAAGAACCTGGCTGAAAAGTTCTGATTAAGGATTTAGCCTTTCCAATCAAGTCTATTATTTCGGATAGCCTAAGGCTAACACCATTAAGTTGAGACAGAGGCATAAGAGTAAGGAAACAAATAATCAGGTTGGAAAATTATGTCTGGGAAATAACTCCGGACGTGTTTTCTGGGATTTGAAACTTGCTGGAAGTACATAGATTAGAACCCAGTAAGTACTTGAGAAAAGTGTATTATCAATGAAACAATAAACTCACACTAATACATTTTGACTCTTTGATCTCAAACTTGCACTGGCAAGAAGCTATCTAAAAATGATGGCTAAAACACTGGACAGTTCTCAGAGGAATGCCTCTCAAACATGCATTTCAGTCATGGCCACACTGGGTAATAACCATGAAATAACATACTGGCTTGAGAAAAAACAATAGATAAAAGAATTCTTCCCACAAAGTATATAATCAGGATGTAATCAAAGCCTTCCCCTGTCTTCAGGGTAGGGGATTTAGTGATATCCATCGAAAAGAATTTCAAAATTATTGAGCACCATGACTTTAGTATCTCCCATTTTAGTCTTTCCAAATGAGTGTGTGTGTGTGTGTGTGTGTGTGTGTGTGTGTGTGTGCATGAGTCTGTGTGTTGAGTGGTAGCAAGAACAAAGATACTTCATTTTTAGTTCCTGGAATTATTGACATCACATACCAAAAACCAGATTAAACACTGTGCATCATCTAGATATTGTGGACTTTGAGCTAGGTGCTGTGATTACAAGGGACTTTGAGCCATCTCTCTTAAAGAGGAAGTTGAATGTGTTGCATGTATGGAAAGAGGAGAAAATTAAAATTTCTTTAGGATGAAGGTGGGCTATGTTGTTCATTAAAGCATT
Organism: Homo sapiens; assembly: GCF_000001405.40. Lineage (NCBI taxonomy): Eukaryota > Metazoa > Chordata > Mammalia > Primates > Hominidae > Homo > Homo sapiens. Next base: position 71,101,016 of record NC_000013.11, read on the forward strand.
TCCATCCTCATACACAGCTATACAATACGTTCTTGCCTTTCTCGTAGCCATGTGTGAACAAATCCCTTATCAGTGGATTGTAGGCAAAGAGAAGGGATGCCATTTCCATTTTCTTTCTCTGTCCACTAGCTATATGCAGATATTCCAGCAGAGGATCCTGATACCAAAACGGATTGCAGAGCCACAGGTTGAAAATAGCAGAGACTCCATGGTTCCCTCAATGATTGCATGGAACAATAACACATGATCCCTGTGATGGTTAGTATTAAGTGTCAAACTTGATTGGATTGAAGGATGCAAAGTATTGTTTCTGGGTGTGTCTGTGAGGATGTTGCTACAGGAGATTAACAACTGAGTCACTGGACTGGGAGAGGCAGACCCACCCTTAATCTGGGTGGGCACCATACCACTGGCTGCCAGGGAGGCTAGAGAAAGGAGGCAGAAGAAAGTTTAATGAGCGGACTTGCTGAGTCATCCAGCCTTCATATTTCTCCTATCCTGAATGCTCCCTGTCCCTCAAACATCAGATTCCAAGTTCTTTGGCTTTTGGACTCTTGGACTTACACTAGTGGTTTGCCTGGTGGTCTCAAGCCTTTGGCCACAGACTGAAGGCTGCACTGTCAGCTGCCCTGCTTTTGAGGTTTTGGGACTTGGATTGATCCACTGCTGGCTTCCTTGCTCCTCAGCTTGCATAGCCTACCATGGGACTTTACTGTGTGGTTGTGTGAGTCAATTCTCCTTAATAAACTCCCTTTCATATATACATCGATCCTATTAGTTATGTCCTTCTAGAGAACCCTAATACAATCCCCCATTCCCACCCACCTGACCTGAGAACTAAATTTTATTGCATAAAGCCATCAAGATTTTCTGTTGTTGAAGTGGCTAGCCTTGCACTGAAGATAGTTTGAAGAACTACCAAACTGAAGTCATAAAAACCACTAGATGTCTCTTAAAATAATCCAGGCAAGAGATAATAAAGGCTTGATATTAGATGGTAGTAGTGGGTGAGAATGTAAATCCTATGGTGGATTTGAAATACGTTTATAAGTACATAATTAATTATGATATTAGAAGATCAGAAAGTATATTCATAAAACTACAGTTCTGAATTGTATAAATGCTGTTAACTAACATAAAGAAGGAAGAGCAGACATTGTGAAGAATTGTGAAGAAAATGTTTTATTTTATATTTGAAATGTCTGTAGAACATTCATTAGGTGGGTCTGTGTGTGAATTTTGAGCACAGAAAGAAAAGCAAGGAAAGAAAAAATAGAATTGGCAATAATAGGCATGTAAGTAGATGGTAGTAAAATAATGGAGGTACCTCTTTGAAATTTCCAATGGATGGTGGGTAGAATAAAAGGCTAAGTACAGGATGGATGACATTTAGAGGATAGAAAGATAAAAGACACAGCTTAGAAAACTCTCAATGAAGGGATAGGGAAAAGCTGGATGAGAACCAGAATGTAATATGTTAAGTACATTTTCATGAATATGAAAATATTCTATATCATAAATGATGTGAAATAAGGATTGAATAGTGTCCACCATATTTCCCAATTAGTAAGGTGACTCGTTAATTTAACAAAACATTTTTATCTGAATAAGGAAAACAAAACATTGATTTCTAAGTACTAGGGAAAGAGTAAATTATGTTTTCAGAAGTAAGAATGAAAATGTAAAAAAAGACAACCATATTCTTTTTTTTTTTTTTTTTTTTTTTGAGATAACGGTCTTACTCTGTAGCCAAGGCTGAAGTGCAGTGGTGCAATCACAGCTCACTTCATCACTGCAACCTCCACCTCCCAGACTCAAACCATCCTCCCACTTCAGCCTCCCAATTACCTGAGACTATAGGCATGTGCCACCGTGCGTGTCCAGCCAATTTTTTCATTTGTTTTGTAAAGAAGAGTCTCACTACGTTGCCTAGATTGGTCTGGAACTCTCGGGCTCAAGAAATCCTCCTGTCTCGGCCTTCCAAAGTGCTAGAATTATAGCCTCGAGCCACAGCATCCCACCAAGACAATGAAGTCCTAGTAGATGCTGTGTTATTACACCAGAATCCCATTTTCCTGGACTCTGTACCCATCTCCCAGCTGCTGTCCACTGTGACTGTTAACAGTACAAAAGTGTTTCCCTTCTCCAGAGAATTGCTCTCAGCAATTGAAAGCTAGAAATACGTTCTTTCCCTCACTTCCAGAAAAGGCCCATAGATAATTTCTGCTTATATCAGGTGGAAATGGCAGTCTCCTTTGCCTTAATAGGAACAACTCTGTGATGCTTTTTATAAGTTTTCCCACATGAATCAGGCTAAGGATGGACTTTACTTGAATTGGGATTTTTGTTTAGCTCTCTCCTACCTCACCAATTTGATTCATTCATTTTCTTACAAGTTTTTTTTTTTTTAATGGGGATCACTCCTTCAGTAAATCACATGCATGTAATCCCTGTCACAAACTCAGATTTTAGTTATCCAAGCTTCAGATAATTGGTGGTAGGAGGAGTCACGAGAAAAGGATTTCATGTTGGATAACTCAATGCCCAGATCATAATGACACCATCACTTGTGGTAGGTAAACTACTGATAGTTCCTAGCAGAAAGCAGATGTGCAATTGATAAAACATTTATCTTTGGTCAACTGGGAAGAAACAAAGATACAAGACAAAGGTGTCAGATAAAATACAAGACACCCAACTAAATTCAAATTTCAGGTAAATCATTTTTTCTAGTATAAATATGTTTTATGTATAAGTATGTCCCATAAGTATATCCTAATATATAATATACATCTCTTATATGTGTGCCCCATAAATATGTATACTTATACTCATGTATACATATGTCTAATAAATGTATATTTTATTTCATGCATGATATATACTTACATATGGGACATATTTATACTAAACATTTATTCATTATTTACTTAAAATTCAAATTTAGTTGAGTGGCTTTTATTTTTATTTGTTAATCCGGCAGCCCTATTAGAAGAGGTTCATACAATATAACTGGCATTTGAATTGTATGCGATAAATGGTAATAAAAAGGAGTATAAAATCAGTGGATTTTTTGGAGCACCATTGAGATATTAAGAGAGATATTATCAGGTTCAGAGTAATCATTCTAACTTGAAAGTAGAATTTGAGAGTCACAGGGCCTCTTTGGAAACATTTACAAAGATCCTCAATTCTATACAGTTTCCTCAGGCAACACAGAGCTAATCCTCCCCAATGGGAGTGGTGAGACCACTTTTTTGTTTTTTAATTATACTTTAAGTTCTAGGGTACATGTGCACAACGTGCAGGTTTGTTACATATGTATACATGTGCCATGTTGGTGTGCTGCACCCATCAACTCGTCATTTACGTTAGGTATATTTCCTAATGCTATCCCTCCCCCCACCACTCCCACCCCACAACAGGCCCCGGTGTGTGATGTTCCCCTTCCTGTGTCCAAGTGTTCGGTGAGACCACTTCTACTAGAGTGGAGACGTTTCTTTCACTAGGGGTGGGGAGACTGCTTCCGCCAGCAAGAAAGATTCTGATCCATTTAGAGGCTCAAAGTCCCTGGCTTCATCTAAGTTTCTCCACACATCCCTGTTCCAACTTTCAGCACCTAATTCCTTCCTAATCACTGCTCTCACTTTAAGTGAGACACTCCTGTGGGGAACTCAAACTGTTGTAACTGAGCCAGTAGAAGGATGAGATTCTGCATTTAACTTTCAATAGTCTGAGCACTGCAGCTCCAGGAGATAAAGGTCTCCTTCAGAGCACACATAGAAACTTTCAGGTCATGTTTACTGAAATTTATTTGGGAATTTGAATCTCTGAGATCATCTTTTTCTTGCCCATTTTGTCCAGTGATATTAGAATTAACTAAGCAATCTTATTATATTCATTAATTTGACATAAATACACGGTCACCCAGATTCTTCTTTCCTGTAAGAGGTTGATATTTTGTATACCTCCACCGCTAGAACATGCCATGGACTTTCAGCATTATCTTTAATGCTGGAAAGACAGTCATTATTGTCTTTAAATCTAATTAGATTAGAAAGCCAATTCCAGAAACCCCAGAACCAAATCAGAAAATTCATCTTTAAAATTATTCTGTTTCTATAATTTATTTTTATGGAGGAGTAATACATTTTTAAAAAATTTTAAATTTAAAAATCTGTTTGAATTGAACCATTCCCAGTGCCAAAATCTGTATTTGTCAGAACTCTCCAGAGAAACAGAACCAATATAATGTGAGATTTATTACAAGTACTAGAAATTGATTCATATGATTATTGAGGTCGACAAGACCCAAGATCTGCAGTAGGCAACCTGGAGACCCAGGAGAGCCAGTAGTATAGTTCAAGTCCAAAGGCTGGCAGGTTTAAGTTCCAGAAATGTGTGAAGTTTCAGTTAAAGTCCTATGACCAAACCAATATCTCAGCTTAAAAACAGTTAAACAGGGCACATTCACTCTCTCTCTCTTTCACCCTTTCTTTCTTTCTCTCTCTCTGGAGCTGAGAGATTTGAGCTGAAACATTTGAGCTGGGGTATATCTAGATAGGTGGATAGATAAAAGATAGGTAGATAGATAGATAGATAGATAGATAGATAGATAGAGACAGATAGATAGACAGACAATAAATAGGCAGATTTCTACTACCATGGTGGAATAATTGGTATATTTTACCCTCCCATCATGAGCAGCTAATACACTGGCAACTATTTTTAGTACTGGTCCACAGAAGAGAAGAGACTGTTATCCATAAGCAAAGGGAATTCCATAAGGTGAACACATGTTGGATCTGCCTTTCATCCTGGAACACCTTCTGGACCATGACACAAAGTGTTTCCCATTTACAACCTGCTGTTATGCTGACCTGGAGAAGAAGAGATTGGAGTTAGGCCTTCTGAAGGGGATCTGAATTTCTACCTTGGAACATGTTTCAGATCACAGAGCAGGTTGTTAGAGTACAATTAGAGTACAAATGCCATGCTGACCTGAGGAGGAAGAGATGGAAATTTAGGGCTTCTGAACGGACTGAAATTCATGAGTCAAGGTGTCTGAGAGGAAGGAGCTTCCCAGGGTAAGAAAGCCTACAAATCTGGTGGATGAAGGAGGCCTTCTACAGGTCTTTGGCTAAGGACTAGACTATCAATATATAGAGTGATATTCCCTGAGGCTTTGCAGAAAGAAGATTCCTTAGGAATAAAAGCTCAAAAGAGCTAACGGAGGACATACGTGTCGAGAAAAAGTGTAGATCGCGGCCAGCCAGAGTGTACAGAACATGCCGAGTACATCAGGCAATCAACTGAGGCTCTGGAAAAGTTAGACATTAGAAGTAAGGGCTGTACTCTAGAGTAGTTATTGCACTCAGAATAAGATAAAAATTGGAATGGACTAAGCCCACTAAGAGTAAAATTATCCAGCAGTTATTTAACTGTCAGCACAAAAATTGATACCTCTTAAAAGAATTTGGGAGGTTGAGGCAAAAGGATCACTTGAGCTCAAGAGTTCAAGACAAGCCTGGGAAATATAGCAATAACTTGTCTCCACTAACAAAAAAAAATTTAAAATAATTCCGACACTCTATAAAATCTCATTCACAATGTTCAGCTGTCATATTTTGCTATAACAAAGTACCACAAACTAAATGACTTAAAAAAACAACATTTTGTATTGAAGTTTTGGAGGCTAGGTCAAAATCAAGATGTCCACACGATAAGTTACTTTTAAGGGCTGTGAGCATATCACCAATACATACTTGGTCTTCCTCCTGAGTGTGTGTCTCTCTTCAAATTTCTCCTTTTTTGTAAAAATACCATACATGCTGAATAACTTCATTTTACATTAATTAACTCTGTAAACATTTTTGTCTCCAAATAATGTTACATTCCAAGGCTTTGGGATTTAGGACATCAACATTTAAATTCCTAGAGAACACAGTTCAACCCATATCACCAACATAAAATAAAATATATCTATTGATTCAAGGAAGCATGAAAATGTGACCTGTAATCAATTGAGCTGGGAGTAATCAATAGAAATAGACCTCAAGAAAACCCAGATGTGGAAATTATCAAACAATGACTTTAAAACAGCTATGATAAATAGGTTCAATGTTATTAAAAATGGAGATATAGACCAGGTGCAGTGGCTCATGCCTATAATCCTAGCAATTTGGGAGGCCAAGGCAGGCAGATCAACTTAGCTCAAGAGTTTGAGACCAGCCTGGGCAACATAATGGGACCTTCTCACTATAAAAATTTCAAAAATTAGTCAGGTGTGTTCATGTGTGCCTGTAGACCCAGCTGCTTGGGGGGCTGAGGTGGGAAGATCACTTGAGCCCAAGAGGCCGAAGCTGCAGTGAGCTATGATTGTGCCATTGCACTTCAGCCTGGGCAATAGAGTGAGACTCTGTCTCAAGAAAAAAAAATGGAGACATAATGCGTGAAAAGAGGAGAATATCATCAAATAAATGAAAACTATTAGAAAAAGAAAAAAAAGCAAATTCTAGAAGTCTAAAAATACACACACACACACATATATATACACACACATATATAAACACACACACATATGTGTATATATATGTATTTTTTTTTTCGGGGAATGAGCTTAACTGTAGACTGGAGTCAGAAGAAGAAAGTGTCAGTGAAAGTGAAGATAGATGGGAAGACATAGTAAATAATCTGAACAACATACAATAAAAGTAAATAGAGCTTCAGTGATTTATGAAACAATATCAACTAGTCTAACAGATTAAGTGGGGTCCAAAGAGAAAGGAAAGAGATAATGAGTATAAAACATATTTGAAGAAATAATGTCCAAGAATTCCCCAAATTTGGTGAAAAATATCCTATGAATTTAAAAAGCTCAGCAAAGCCAAACAGTATACATAAACAGAATGCCACACCTGTGAATATTGTAATCAAACTGATGAAAACAATAGATAAAAAATACATCAGAAAATCAGCTTAAGAAGACACATTGTACAAAAACAAATGGCAACTGATAACTCATCTGAAAAAATGGGGTCACAAATACAAAGAAAAAATCTTTGAACTGTTGAAAGAAAAATAAAAAAGTATACCCAGAATTCCACATCCAGGAAAAATACCTTTCAAATGTAATTGCAAAATAAAAATATTGAATAAACAAAAACAGCACCAGCAAGCGCTTCCTAAAAGAATGCTAAGGTTACACCTAAGTAGCTAAAGATAGATGATGAGAAATCATTTTTAAAAAAGGAACTAATTAGTAGAAAAGAGTGAAGAGCACCAGAAATAGTAAATATTTGGGTAAGTAAACAGGCTATTTTTTAATCATTAAAAAATTTTAAGATACATTTAAATATAATAATAATTATATTGTAGATTTTATAATGCATGAAAGAGTAAATTATATGATAAACTAGTCCAAAGACAGGAGGGTATTAAATAGAATTATGCAGGTTTTATGTTTTTTCATTGTATGTGAAGTGAACCAATATTAACTTTAAGTAAACTGTGATAAAAATGCGTGTTTAATTCCTATAACAAACACTGAGAAAATGATAGAAAAAGGTATAGTTCAAAAGCCAGCCAATAAAGAAATTAATATACAGTTATGTATCACTAAACATTGGGATATGTTTTGAGAAATATGTTGTTAGGTGTTTTTATGATTGTGTAAGAATCATAGTGTATTTACACAAACCTAGATGGTATAGCCTACTACACACCTAGGCTATGTGGTATAGTCTATTGTTTCTAGGCTATAAACCTGTACAGCATGTTACTGTACTGAATAGTGTAGCCAATTGTACTAAAATTGTAAACATTTGTGTATTTAAGCATAAAAAATGTTCACTAAACTATGGTATTATAATATTATGGGACTTCTGTCATATATGTTGTTTGTCATTGAGCAAAGTATTATTATGAGGCGTATAATGGTACTAAAAAAAAATAGTATCCCCAAGAGAGTGTAAAGGAAAGAAGAACACAAATCAGGTGAGAAAACTGAAAATAAATAGTAAGATGGTAGGCTTAAATCAGATTATATCCATGATAATATTAAATGTAAAGGGACTAAACCCCTCAATTATGGAGCAGAGGATGTTATACCAGATTTTAAACCCATGAAACAACCGTATGCTTTCTACAAAAGACACACAGTAAACATAGATACAGCTAAAACAAACAGTAATAGATGAAAAAAGGCAAAGCCACACCACAATAGTCATAAGCACAAAAAAGAAGCTAAATAGAAATCTAATCATAGAGTATTTAAAAAGACAAAGAATAATATATTTTAATTATAAAATGGTCACTGTATTAGGAAGACTTAATAGTTCTAAGTGTGGATGCACAAAGATTCAAAACATGAATAAAAATTGGGAGAACTAAAGACAAAAATAGGCACAGAATCATCATTGAAGATTTTAACATCCCATTCACAGTAACCAATAAAACTAGAAGAGCAAGTTAATGAGTATATAAAAGACTCAAACAACACTGTCAACCAAGATTACCTAGTTGTTATTTACTGAACACAACAACACTCAATCCCTACAGGAAAAATTGTTTCCATAGACAAATGGAACATTCACCGTAATAGACCATAAAGTGGACCCTAAAATGAGTGTCAATGTATTTCAGAAAATATATAAAATCATAAATGTTGTATTCTCTGACATAATTAAATTAAAAATTAATGTTAGATATATCTTGAAAATTTTGAAATTAAGCAAGAGCCTTCTAAATGATTTGAGTTAAAGAAAATTATAAAAATATTTTAACTAAACAATTGCAAAACACAAAGAAGCTATGGACTGTAGATAAATTTGTACTAAAAAGAAAATTTATAGACTGTGATGATCAATTTCATGTGTAAGCTTGGCTGAGTCATGAGATGCCCAGATAAAATTACTTCTGGATGTGTTTGTGAGGGTGTTTTCAGAAGAGATAAGCACTTGAATTGGTAGATTGAGCAAAGTAGATGGCCCTCTTCAATGTGTGTTTATGGGTGGGCATCATCCAATCTTGGTAAGGAGGAGGGAATTCTCCTGCCCCCTTTTCTTCTGCCTCACTGCTGGAGCTAGTACATCTCATCTCATCTCATCCCTTTATGCCCTTGAACTATTATTTACACCACTGGCTCCCTTGAATCTCAGGACTTCAGATTTACACTGAAAGACACCACTGGCTTCCCTGGGTCTCCAGCTTGCAGATTAACAGATAGCAGATTGTGGGACTTCTCAGCTTCCATAATCACTTGAGCCAACTTCTCATTATATGGAAGGATGGATAGATAGATAGACAGACAGACAGACAGATAGATAAATAGATTCTATTGGTCTGTTTCTTAGAGGAGCCTAATACAAAGGCTCTTTAGGAGAAACAAAAATCAGTGATCTAAATTCTCATTTTAAGAAGCTAAACAGTTATAATCAAAAGAAGCCCAAATCAAATAGAAGGAAAACAAACAAGAAAAATAAGAGTAAAAATCAATGAAACAGGACTTCCACTCCACTGAGGATGTAGAAAGTCACAAGAGAATTTTTCTCCCAATCTGACAATGGGAAGAAAGCAGATAGTCTTTTAAAAATATAATAGTTTAAAAAACTCCATTAGAATGTTGAGATAACAAATAATCCTAATGTAATGAAAGGGAAAAATGATGAACACCTCCTAAAAGAGAAGTCAATATTTGCTATTTGATGATTGCAAAATAATAGGAAGCCAAAAAGCTGCCATAGACAAGGTTAAGAAGAAAAAAGCTGAACATTAATGGAAAAATTAAAAGCTCAATATAATGTGATATGATGCAAGGTGAATCAGCTTCTGTCAACTTCTCCAGAATGCTTCACTGAGTGTTTTTAAGAGAAATTCAGTCAGGTTAGGAAGACTGACAGAGATGGACACTATGGTGCAGGCTTGCAGGGCATGCAGAATTCTAAGGTGGAAAAGGAGAACTAAGAGAAACAAACTTCATAAGCACTCCAGGTCTAATTTAAGTAGCCAACAGTTACCATCTATGTCTGGCAGAGAGACAAGGGATCCGAGAAGAAACTCTCTGAGACATAGCATTGGAGCATCCCTAAATTCTGAATATGAAAAAGGAACACTCTACGATCTCACTTTTATGTGGAATTTTTAAGAAGTTGAACTCATAGAAGTAGAGTAGAATGGTGGTTGCCAGGGACTTGTAGGTTGGGTGCAGAAAGTGGGTGAGATATTGGTCAAAGTGTACAGACTTTTAGCTGTAAAATGAATATGTTCTAGGGATCTAAAGGATATCATGGTGACTATAATTAATGATAGTGTACTGTTTACTTAAAACTTGCTAAGAGAGTGGATCTAAGTGTTCTTAACACAAAAAAATGGTAATTATGTAAGGTGATGCAGTTGTTAATCTGCTTGACTGTGGTAATAATTTCACGATGTATATGCATATACAATCATCGCATCTTGAATTTTGATTTGTCTATTATATCGCAATAAACCTGGAGGAAAAAAAAAGGGAGAACTGAAAGGTAATCAAAAGACATTTTGGGTCTTACACTGGGAGAGGCAGCCCACTAGAAGTGACAGCAACTAGAGTGGCAGAAAGAGGAGAGCTGAGAAGAAACCCCTGATGGGTGAACAACAGGGACTGCTGAAAATTGAAGGCATGAGAACAGAAATCAACCTTTCAGGCACTCAGATCCTTGAAAAGGGAAGACTGGGATACTATCCTCAAGTAATTTAGAGCATGTGGTGGCAAGCTGAATATAACCAAAGAAACAACAAATTCCAGAACCAGTTCAACTACTGAATGCATTGACCCGACCTTCATACAAGAAGACTGATGGAAGACACACTTCCATCATTCAAATAAAAATGATCAAACATATAAAAATGCAGAAAACATGACCCAGGATGAAGAAATAATATTGTCAAAAGCTTTATGCATGGGATGATCACTTTTTTGGTCTTATTCTATTAATATGGTATATTCTATTGTTAAGCCAATCTCACATTCCTGAGATAAATCTCACATGGTCATAGTGTATTAATATAATGCTTTTTATATGTTGCTGGTCTTAATTTGCTAATATTTGGAGGATTTTAGGTCTCTTTGTGAATGATAATGGTCTGTAGATTTGCTTTTTTCTTGTGATGACTTTGGTTAGCTTTAATATTGAGAATTCTATTGACTTCATAATGACTTGAGAAGTAGTCCTTCTTTTATTTTCTGCAAGAGTTTGTGAATGATTACTTTTGTTTATGCTTTTAATATTTGTTTAATATTTGATATCATTTAAAGGAAAATATAAGTTTTTATTTTTGGAAGATTTTTAATTATTAATTCAATCTGTTTAGTTGTTATAGGTCTATTTAAATTTTCTATTTTATCTTCAGTAAATTTGAGTAATCTGAGTCTTTCTAGTAATTGCATTCCATCCAACTTGTTCAAATTGTTGGGAAAAAATTGTTCCTATTATTCCCTTATAGTTGTTTTCATTTCTAAAGGGTTTGTAGATTCCTATCTCATTATAGATTTTCATAATTTGTGTCTTTCACATAATTCTAGTGTATTTTTTATCTCAGTTTTTGTGTTTTCCAATGCAAGAATTTTTACTGGTTTGTTTTTTATAATACCAATATCTTTATTGATATTCAGTATTTGATGAATCATTGTCATATTTTCTTTCATTTCTTATACATGGTTTCCTTTAGTTCCTTGAACATATTTATAATAGCTCTTTTGAAACTTTTGTAAATTCCAACATCTAGACTTTTATATAATCAATTATATTTATTTTTTACATAATCAATTATATTTATTTATTTTCTTGTATATCTATCACATGTTCATTATTTTTGCATATCTCATAATTTTTGTCAAAAATTGAACATTTTGAATAATATATTTTAGCAACTCTGGATTTTGTCATCCATCCCTTTTTGATCTGTAGGTTATTGTTGTTTAATGTTTATATTTTTATTGACTGACCTGGAATAATTCTGTAGTCTGCTTCTTCTGGAGTATGTAGGCAGTGAAATATCTTCTTAGTTTATCTATTTATTTGTTTATTTTTATTATTAAGTTTGGGATGCTAGTGGTCAGATGTAAGTTAATGTAATTTAATTGTCAGGCAATGATAGGCCAGAGATTGTGCTTCAATACCTAGATTCAGTAAAATTTCCATTATTGGTCAATGAATTTATGGAAGATTGGCCCACACATTTGTATCTCAGGCAGTTGACAAATGTTCCTCAGTTTTTACCTCTTGCTGGGTCTTTCCATGTCTTCCATGCACCTGCACATGGTCTCACATTCAGGGACATGTAGGTAACCGGGGCTGTCTCTACTCTCCCCTAGGTTTGTGTGCACCATTGTGGAGATGTCTGAACAGCCTTCAAGACCACTTAGGATAGGTGGTGGCATATCAAGCCCACTATGGCTGTCTCGTTCCACAGATCTCCTTGATAAACCCCTAGCATATCAGTTTGTCCATTTCTTGCCCCAACCAGTATTGCAACTTCGGACATCTGCAAGATTGGCCTTACCTGATTGGTTGCATCAAGAACAATATTATTTTCAACAGTAATCTTGGCCATGGAGTTTTGGATGCTTTATTTCTAATCAAGTTAGCTCTGTCCAGCAACAAAGTTAGACTGCTAGTTTTCATGGCTTGCCCTACCCCAGTAGACCTACTTCTGAGGGAGACTGGGTGAAAGGGGTAGGATGTGATCAATCTCAGGCTAAAACCCCGTGGATTCTCACTGTTCTTACACAAATTTCTGATGTTTTTTTGAACAAATGCTTTGCAATTTGTTGGGTTTTTTTTTAATTCTAGAGAATTGAAATATTTTTCTTTTATTCTTTAAGTAATTTTTTCCAGTTTACTGTGAGTTTTTTTTAATGGGTGCTATTTTGCACATCCCTTTGTTCCACCATTCTGCAAGTATCATTTCTCTTTGACATGGGATATCACCTGATGTCACCTTAGACAAAGTTACCCATTTTACAGTAAAATTGTATGACAGCACACTCACAACCATGGAATCCACTGGTCTCACTACCACTGTATCACCCAGAAGATGCTTGCCTGAAAGAGCAATAGACAAGCCTCATATTAATAAACATAAAAAGAAATAATGCATTGCCCAGAAAAGTCACCACTCTAATATACTCCTTAAAACATTATCCATTATGTCACTGTGTCCCCTGTAGACAGAACATGTGAGTCTAGAAATAAGGGGGTAAAAGAAAAAATATTCCTCATGCATTCATTTGGTGTTGCTGCTATAACAATATAACACAGTCTGGGTGGTTTAAATGAGAGAAATTTATTTCTCAGCATTCTGTATGCTTGAATCAAGATGTTGTCAGGTTTGGTTTCTTTTGAAGCCCATCTTTGACTTGCAAATGATTACTTCCGGGACCATTCTCACGTGGCATTTCCTCTGTGTGCAAGCATCTCCGGTGTCTCTTGGTGTGTTCAAATTTCCTCTTCTTATAAGGACATCAGTCAGATTGGATTACGACTCACAGTAACAAATTCATTTTAATGTAATCACCTTTTCAAAGAGGCTATTCTAAATATAGTCACATTCGGAGGTACTTTGGTAAAAGCTTCAACATACACGTTTTGGGGAGACACAATTTAGCCTGTAACACCCTATTTATGAGTACCTCTTCAAGAATGTATAAGTCTCTTTCCTCATTCTCAGGGGGTGATCTTTCTAACAGGGGACACAATAAGAGCCCCAATAGGGTGGCTGCAGTATCACTTTGGACTCCTTATGCCAGTATACAGGCTGGTAGGGATAATTGATCCTTATTATTATCAGACATAAGACTGCCGCTTTATAATTAGGAACGGAAAAAAATGTATCTGATATTCAGATGAACAACTGGTGGTATTCACCTGGCCAATTTTAACTGTAAATTAACAAGCACATCCATTTCTGACAAGAGCAGGGTAAACTGAGGCACAGACACTAAGATCTTCCAATATTGGGGTGTGAGTCATCCTATGTCGCAAGCTGCTCATCCAGCAAAAGTATTATCCGAGAGAGGGAGATCTGAAGAAGTTGTAAAAAAGGGAAATTACAAACTTAGTTACAGCCTTAGCACTACCTACAGCATTGGTGTTGGTGGACTGTAGTCCTCCCAGGAACTGTCCTCTTGTAAATGTCTCAGGAATATTGACCACAAAATTTTGAAAAAGCTATGCCTTTTTCAGAATTCTTGTTGCTGTGGTCATGGACTATTTTCTGAGCTGCTGTATATATTATCTGCTATCACAAGTAGATGTCACTCGCTTTATGGAAAATTGTCCTTGGAAGTTATACACTCTTGCATAAACTCTGAGGGAAGATCACAATCAATTAACACCTGATATGGAGTTTTAAACGGTGAACCACTAGGCTCAAATATGGACAATGCAGCAGAGCCCTTTATTCTCCTAATCTCTCTCCTTTCACCATGTAGGTCAGGCAAAGACTAGGTTTGGCCTGAATCCACATTCCTGCTTGGCACTTTCCCTTTCTTTATCCTCGTCTACTTACTCCCTTGAGGTTTTCTTGAAAATTCTTTCCTTGATAAATTATGTACCCCCAGTCACGTATTTCAGGCTCTGTTTCTTGTCTTATGTTTTCCACCTAAGACTTATACATCTGGAATCGGGGAGCAGGTCAGGGAAAATAAAGAATTTTTGTTTCTAATATGGGAAAAACTTCAAGTAGTTTATGGATTTTGGAGAAATTAACATGTAAAAATTGATCCCCAGGCAGGAGATGAGATGCCTTCTACTCTGATTTAGATAAGACATTAACTACAATTTAAGGACAAAATATGTTGGAAGAGTTCTTCTCTGTCTTCATGATAAAATGGATAAAGCAAGATCATCCCTTTAATTGAAAAGAAAGCAGAAACTGAGAGAAAGCTTAAGGGAGTGAGTAAATAAATGAAAGTTACAATGAGGGCCCATGTGAACAATGATATTATGAATTTGTAGTTACACTAATCTTTTGATTAGTCACACTTTTCTTGGAGCATACAAGCGACCCAATGCGGGAATCACAGTAAGAACAGATTATAAAACAGATTTTTTAGAACTATTGATGTATATGTAGGTGTGCCACAAAAATACTGACACCAAATAAACCTGGGAAGCCAATGAAAATACAGTAATTCAAAAAACAGAATATAGCATTTTTGGCAGAAGAAGATATAAAGTGAATCTAAAAAGAACTGGTAACTGTGTGGCAGAAAGACTTATAGAAATGGAAATGGAGTTTTGGTTATGTAAAGGAGAAGAAGGAAAATGAAAGAGAAAAAATATATAAGTTAGAGATTGGGTCATTATAATTCAAAAATTTAAAAGTAGAAAACTCAGATATTAAGAAGGTCAAAAATGTGTATATTACAATGGTTTTATCATTTATTATTTGCATAAACTGTATTGGACCTGAGAAAATCAATATGCTATATTTAGGATGTTGATAGGTTATCCAAAATATTTGAATTTTTGAATTTGCTGAAGTGGGGGCAAACATTTTAGGGGCGATAGATATGAGTTAAGAACCCAAATTTTCAGTTGTCTGGAAGGGTGGCTCTTAAGATTGACAAATTTAATGGCAAAGATTTATACATAATAGTGTAGGTAGATTTTCTGTGCTTCAAAAGAGGGGGAGTTTTTGGTCAAAGATGGAAGAATGATTTGAGAATATCATGAAAGTTATTCTCTGAGTTATTGATCTCTTGACCTTCTAGGATGGATAAACATTATTTTATCATTTGAACTGGGACATTATTTAACATAATTTTACCTGGCATTTTGAGTGTTACCCAGTGGTAAAATAATTATAAGGAACAAATTTAATTCATTTGGCTCCAGGTTCACAAATTTGGAAAAGCCCTGATTCTCTCTAAATGTGTGCACTTACGTGTAGTGATTATAAGGTAACTCACTTTAAAGAGTTCAACAAGTGTTAATTAATGATGACATAATGAAACATTTAGGCAGACAACTATAATAAGCCATATATCAAGGAATATTTTATACTTTCAGTTAGCTACATGACTTTGAAAAGATTTACTTGTTTTAAAAATATTACCATATGATTAATCTACTATATTTAAAACATGTAGACAACATCTTTTTTTGTTGTTACCACAGGCACAAGTGGCAAATTATTACATAAATGGAAGTCATTGATCAGACCTGAAGTGAACAGAGTTGAAGTGATTCAGAACACTTGATGTTCTTAACTACCCTCAGTTTTGTCTTTCAGAATGGAATGTAGTCTGTCCCTGTAAATATTTTCAATGTATTTATTGTTCATATATCAAATTGCACTAGAATTTGTCCAGGATTCAGGACTAATCAGTCACCTTTAAAGAAACACCATAAAATGAAAGACATTAACAAATATTCATTGTGACTTTCTAGTTCTTATTTGTAGAATTAATGTATTTTTCATTTGTATCCAATTATGCATGAGTAGGTGAATTAACTCTTTGAAATAATTATGATTTTGAATTTAAAAATTATTAAATGAGCTGCAAATTAAATACCAGTCATTATATTCAGGATTTGGTCAAATCAGAAGAAAGGGGTAGAAGATTTTTGGCTGGTTATGGAAGAAAGAACCAATACATTTCAATATACCTTATGATTCAAGGCAATAGAAAAGCTAATTTGAGTGACATGAATATTTTATATTTCAGTTTGTCTTAGTTTTATCAATACTCTTTAGTCAAAATACATTAGCTTGTTTTTGCAGTTCCTAGTAAGTCATGTTTTGCATAGAAAGGTATTTTTGAGGTTGGAGTTGAAGATCTGCAGTTGCTTCTAAAGGTCAATATGTTTTTCACGGTTTAAAGTAGAGAAAATAAGAGCATTGTGTGTGTGTTTGTATGGCTCTCTTTTTAATATTGTTCTAACTCACCTGATACAATTCTGTATTATTAATAACTACATGGAAATATATAAGGATACAAAGATAATACAAAATTTTCAGTATCTTGTGGAAATGAATACACTACATACACACACATAGTTTATATATATATATATATACACACACAGTGTCTGTGTATATATATATATATATATACACACAGTGTCTGTGTATATATATATATAAACAGAGTGTCTGTGTATATATATACACACACACATATATATACAAACACATATATATGGATGATCTCTCTATATATGTATACACACACACACACACACACACACACACACATATATATATACACATATATATGGATGACTCCAAGGGCCCAATTAAAAGGCAATTGGCTTGTAGATTAAGTTTTAAAAAAATAATTTAGAAGTCCTAATTGAAATTTACTTTTTGATTCATTTTTGTTTTCTATTACAATCTAGATTATTAGAAAATACACTCATCATTTTAAATTAATATGCTTATAAGGTATTTGAAATACAAATATTGAGTGGCATTATGCAATCTGTATAACCAATAACTAGGCATTAGAGAGCCTGTTAGCTTTGAAATACATACGGGTATGTAGACTTCCTGTTCCTCAACACCACAGTTAGGCACATCTCTCACATTTTCCTTTCACTATGTAATTTTAAGAATTTTTCCCCAAATTTTTAAATTTCTACTTTTCCATTAGACCCCTATCAAACAACACTGTATCCTGTCTTAATGAATACTTCCTATCTATCATGTCAATTTTAGTGCTGATCAGAAAGTATTAGAGCCACTGTTGGACAGAAGATGCAACTGATACTAAGGCAAAATTCTTATTATCTCCTGCTAGCTCTTAGAACTGTATATCTTATCACGTCTATATAGACATTGACAGAAAACTGTCTAACAAATGCAATGAAACAGCTAAAAGTAAGTAAGTGATAGGTCTTTCTTAGGCAGTGTAAAAAGATCAGCATGGCA
This sequence comes from Homo sapiens, assembly GCF_000001405.40. Lineage (NCBI taxonomy): Eukaryota > Metazoa > Chordata > Mammalia > Primates > Hominidae > Homo > Homo sapiens. The sequence goes on from NC_000013.11 coordinate 71,118,932, forward strand.
GAATGCAGAGCAACAGAATGTCGAGTGGCTAAAGTCCATGAACAGTCAGGAAACGAGTAGATGAAGCCAATGTTGACACTTCAGTCCTTAATTATCCTAATTAGAGAACATCAGAACAGCAAAATAATGTTTATTGAATCTGGCAAAATGAAACATTTTTATTGTGCTTACTGCTTATTTTGGCAGCCATGGTACATTGTTGACTCACATGCTGTGTACTTAACGGAATCTCATAAGCCATTTTATATGAACCGTGGTTAACCTAGGCCCAATTCTTCCTGCGCTTGTAAAATTGCTATTTTGAACTCCAATATAAGAATTTACATTTTTCATCTATTCTTATCTTACCAATATTGGCTTAGTTTTTACAGCACATGATATAATGTATCTCTTAGGGAATGGTATGTATGCACAGTGAACATAATTGTCAATGGTATTTCTTCATTAAATAACAGCATAGGACATCTTTCTTTTTCTTTCTTTCTTTCTTTCTTTCTTTCTTTCTTTCTTTCTTTCCTTTTCTTTCTTTCTTTCTTGCCTTTTCTTTCTTTCTTTCCTTCTTTCTTTTAATTAAACAGAGTTAATTTGAGCAAAGAAGGTTCATGAATGAGGCAGCCTCCCAAACCAGAGTAGGCTCAGAGAGACCGCAGTGCAGCCACGTGGTGGAAGATATATGGACAAAAAAAGGAAAGTGTTGTACAAAAAACAGAAGGGAGGTAAAGAAAGGGCTGGGTTGTTTGCCTTGTTTGAACACAGTTTGAACAGTGGCTGTCCGTGACTAAAATTGGCTAATATTTGGTGACTGACACAAGAGTAGGTTACAGTCTGTTTATACATCCAGGTAGGTTATAGTTCACTATGTATGGAGAAACCTTTAAAATATGTAAAGAGGCAGGTTTAGGCTAAACTTAATTTAACGCCCTTTTGGTCATCCTCTCAATTTTGAGAGAGAAACTGAAACTGTAGGCATTGATGTCACCCTAGGATACGTTTCTTTTCTCAAGGTTTCCATAGCCTAGAATGAGAAAGTACCATTTAAACAGATTATTATAAAATAATGTGCTACAAAAGTTATAATGTAGTATGAACATTATGGGAGAAGGTGATGTATGTTTTTTTTTCTGTATTTGTAAAGTTTTAATTGGCAAATAAAAATGGTTATATGTACGGTGTTCAACATGATGCTTTAAGATATTTATACATTGTGCAATGCCTAAATAAAGCCAATTAACATATGCATTGCCTCACATACTTATCTAATTGTAGAAAAAAAACACTTAAAATCTACTGTCATAGCAATTTTAAAATATATAATACATTGCTATTAACTATAGCTACTATGTTGTACAATACAGCTATTGAACTTATTCCTCTTGTTTAATTGGAATTTTGTACCCTTTGACCAACACCTCACCCAACTCTCCCATTTCCACAGCCCCTGGTAATCATCTTTCCACTCTCTGCTTATGTGAGTTTGACTTCTTAGGTTTCATATATAAGTGAGATCACGCAGTATTTGTCTTTCTGTGCCTCGCTTATTTCACTTAACATCATGTGAAGGTGATATTTGAATTGAGTCTCATAGGCAAAGGAAAAATACATACATATATATATATATATATACACACACACACACACATTTGATATATAAAAATAGATCAAAAAGAAAAGGAAGGAAAAATCATTTGAGGCTGTAAGATTGAGGGAATAGACTATTTTAAGTATGCACGAGCCACAAGAAGCATTCTGAAATACTGATTGTTTTGGTTATTTTCCCTTTTTAATAGCCAATTCAGCTAAATTATTTGACTAGACATCCTATACTAGAATTATGGATTATTAACTTTCTTCTACAGTCAATATTATTATTAGAAAAAAAGTAAAAAATAACTCACATCATTACGATGTTAGAAGAGTATATTTAAAAGTAAAAGTTATTCTTTCTTCCCATGAAAGATTTGATTAAATAATCTTTATAAAGAGAAAGGCAAATGGGGAGCATACTATTTTCCATGAAGACTATATTTTATGATGGAAACACTCAAAATTCAGGGGCTAAAAAACTGAAAATTATATTTTTCTTGCCTTGGATTTCAGAACTATACCTGGACATATATCTGTGTGTGTATTTTCATCCTTGATTTTGCCTGGCTCTTGATCTGCCCACTGAAGCTCGGAAACAAGGGTTCTGTATTTCTGGACGGTTTCTTCTTCACTACATTGATGTGAATTTTCTGCAAGTTTAAGGGATCTCTGCCTTTTGAATTTTATCAAAGATCCAGGTTCCTTTTAAATACTGTTGAGCAATGAATTTTCTAGAAAGTAGAAACTGGGAAGGAAAAGAAGGTGGTGAACAAAGCAAACCCAGAGGCCTTAGGCCATAAATCCAGTACATTATCACATTGATTCTTATCTCACTGTCAATAGCTGAGTTACATGGCATCTGCTAACCAGAGGGCGGGGGTGAGGGCAGGTATGCATTCATGGCCCAGGTACCAACTTAGCACTATGGAAGTGGCTGGTAGTAGTGTCCATCACAGGTGGGGAGCTTCCTCAGTTGCTTTAGTCCCCCTCATAAATATGTTCATAGTCTTCTAGAATCACAGTTATTTCTATTATAAGTCCATAACGATTGCTGTAGGTATTTTAAATTTCAGTTTTTAAAAATATGGCAGTCTAATTCTGGTTCTATGTAGATAACCTATTCTAGAATTTTCTAGAATTTTCTTTTTATTGCTACAGTCTATAAATCTATTTATAAATTTATGAATGTGCCAGGCATTTGATGTGGACTTTTAATCTGAAAAACATTATAGGAATTTATTTTGTCTATTTTCTCTTCTCCTATCTTCTTTTCTTTGCTGTTGAACTATTATAATTTTATTGTAAGATTATCTGAATTTTTCTTTTAGATGTACTTTATTTTTAGTGATAATCCCAATCCTTTGTATTTTTGTTTTGAGTTATCAAGCTTTCTTCCAGGTATTAGGCATACAGAAATGAACAAAAAGATCCCTTAAAAAGAACATGTTTCCTTCGAGCTTAAATTGACATAGGATACTATCAACAACAAAGAAGAAAAATATATTTCATGTCAGATAATAATAAGGGCTATGGAGAAAGATAAAATAAGAGAGGAGAAGAGGAAGTGTGGAGCAAGGGTGGTTACTACTTTAGGACAGTCAAGAAAGGACTGACTGTGAAGGGGACATTTGATCAAAGGCCTGAATTTGGTAGGAGAGCAACAGTTGTGGAGTTCTGGAGGAGCAGTCTGGGAAACACCAAAGCCCTTGAGCCTGGGGTATGGCTGTCAGGTTGAGGACCAGGATAAGCAAGGGACAAGAATAGAAGTGTGATGATTAGAGAAGGAACAGAAGGCTAGTCTGTGAAAGTCTTGTAGGACCTAGTACAAATTTAGAGTTTACTCTCGGTGGGGTAAAAAGCCACAGAAAAGTTTTGAATAGAGCAGTGATGTGATCTACCTGATGTTTGAAATGAATCAATCGGTGGCCATGTCGAGAATGAACTGCCTGGGGATGGAGGGGAAAGTGAAGGGGCATATTGGCAGTTATGGCAAGGCCACGTAAAAGAAAATGTTGTTTAGCCTATGGTATTAGCAGTGTGGATGGTTGAGCAGTGGTTAAATTCTGTATGTATTTAAAAGGTTGCCAAATTACTCAGAATACAATGTGAGAAATAGAGAAGCATTCAGCATTCAGAGTCAGCAACTGAGGCCTTTGAGTAGCCATTGCCAGGTAGGGAAGAATATTTTCCCCAAGATGGAGTCTATTTTATTTTATTATTTCTCTTGATGCTTTTTTCATTTCCTAAATTATTTTGTTGATTTGTTTTTATTATTTTCGAATATGTTATCTAATTAGATCTCACATTGCAATGCTTTTAAAAATCATCACAAGAATTTAGATCAAAAGTATAGTAAGCTCTCTCTGGTGTCTTTAATTATATGTATATAATAGGAGTGACTTACTCTGAATCTTTCACTTGTTTTTTTGTTTGTTTGTTTTTTTGGAACTACACAGATCCCTTAAATAGCAGTCTTATTTTCTTTCTTTTCTAAGTCTACATTTTTCATTATACTTAGAATTATTATATTTGGCTCTAATACATAAAAATTATAGCCTCATCTTTCAACTTTGAATGAAATCATTACTTCTATGCTAACCAGTTACAGTAATGGCATTATTGTATATGTGTGTAAAAAGTCTAAGAAACTATTTTCTTCAGATATTTTTTAAAAAATCTGAAATTCAGAACTTCAAATTATATAATCATAATAGTCAAACAATATTGTACAGAATAATCTGCTATTTTTGAGACAACAAATTGTGCATTGCACTTCTCAAGTACAATAACTTTTTTGATCAATAAACTTTATGTTTAGAGTAATTTTAAATTCACAACAATGACTTTTAAATATAAATTTGCAACTGAAAGGAGCCAATAACAGTTGCTTGCTTGGTTGATTGCATGATAAATATTTTGTTCTCTACTATGTAACACTTACCAATAAATGCCAATAATAATTGCAACAAAATCTTTTGCTTTTAAAGCTGTGTAAAAGGCAGAAATAATCATGTAATCATCTTGTAATTATATGGTACTTACTATGCAATTACATAGTAAATACATTGTAAATTCAAAATAATTGCATGGTTATTTGCATTATGCATAGTATCTAATCCAATTTTGACACATAAAACATTGGTAACATCCAAAGGGTTGCCCAAATTTCTCCCACCTACACCACAAGATCAATAATAATGGAAGTAATTAAAGGAAGTCCTTGAACAAATGCTCGATATTGTATGATTGGAAACTATCCATTCATATTTATGACATAGGTAGAATTATAAATTAGTACAGAATGAGATTAGCAATTAGACAATAAATTATTAATTAAAATTACGCTAACAATGATTTTGTTTCCATGAGAAACTTACTTCTAGAATGGCAGAATAAGGAATATAGAAGATTCTCACGCCAATATATATATAAAATTATGAAGAACAATTCCTCTATGCCTCTAGAAATTGTTTTAAGGGCGTACAGGAAATGGGAAAATATTTGTTCAGTTAAATCTCCTTAATTTTAGCAACTACAATGAACATTTCAGTCCCAGCACTTCAGTCACAATCAATTTCTTCCCCATACTCAACACGCTTTACTTTATGGGGGCTCCCTTTCCTTCATTCTCAGCAACTGCTTTGCCACGAGATGGGGAGTCTACTGGTATCTCTCATTTCCCTCAGTTTTATGTTGCTGACACTCTATTATGAGTAGGCATGGCCAAAAGGTTCCCTTCTAGCACACAGTCCCAATCATAGGGCAAAAGGTCTATTGCAGAAAACACAGGATAAGAATACTGGGGCCTGATCATTCCATTTCATCTTGCTTTTAGGGTGGAGGTTACACAGGAGGGGCCAGCCAAGGAGACTGGAGAACATACCCCGCATCTGCTCAGCATGTTTTCATAGAGCAGGGTTGTGTAACTCCAGGAGAAATGAGCCATTGTCTCTGCTTCCAGCTCTTTTGCAGCTCTGTAGAGGTTATGCCCACCAGGACAGACATGTCATAAGAACAAAATGCTTCACAGGTCTTCATGAGAGAAATGACTTTATTTGTAACAGTGTGAAGGATTCCATGCCCATGGGAGAAAGGGGAGATGTCCACAGCAATGGAGACCTTGGTAAAGAGCAATGAAGAGGGCACACATAGCTCTATTATAATAGTAGCAAAAGGTGAAATGGTACAGCAATCATACACGTAACAGAAAGAATCAGGGAAGGAAATATCCAAGAAAAACATCTACTGAGATCACATTTAACTGTGAGATACAGGGAAACTATGAGCAAGTCCTAGGCTAATCCAACTGCGGCACATTAAGAACAGGGAAGCAGACAAAATTGAAAACATTCAAAAGTTACACACAGATAGCAAAGGGCAAAAGCCCCACTGGACCTAGGGGATTAAAAATAACCTCTGACCAAACACTAGCTGAACATAGGTTACTCTGACCCAGAAGCAGTTACTAAGAAGTCATACGTGGGTGGATCACCTGAGGTCAGGAGTTCGAGAACAGCCTGGCCAACATGGTGAAACCCGGCCCTACTAAAAATACAAAAATTAGCAGGGTGTGGTGGTGGGTGGCTGCAATCCCAGCTACTCAGGAGGCTGAGGCAGGAGAATCGCTTGAACCCGGGAGGCGGAAGTTACAGTGAGCCGAGTTCGTGCCACTGCACTCCAGCCTGGGCAACAAGAACAAAACTCCATCTCAAAATAAATTAAGAAATAAATAAAATAAAATTATGCACAACGTTGGCAGTCTGGAATAATGTGTACATACCCAAGGCTGCCTCTAAGGAGTGAGAAATTTATGCTACTACCTCAGGACTAAATGGCAGGTGGAGGAGATGTAAACTTCTGGACCTCAGAGAGCAGCTTCCACCTACATATACATTAAATTTTAAAGAGTAAATATCCAGAGTTCCAGTGGGAATTAAGCACAACTTTTGACCAATAAGTGGTTTATGCTGACCCTGGGCAATCCCTATGTAGTCAGACAAAAAAAAAAGAAAAAAATGAAACAAAACCTAAGGAAGGTCATGCGAGACTTCACATTGAAATGAAAAAGACTATACAGAGTAATTTCAGCCAGATCACTAAACAAATAACTTAATGACAACTAAACAAACACAAAACATTAACCTCAAACTGGTGGGGAAGAATTATGGTTCTGGGTTGTTACAATGTATTACCCAAAACATCCAGATTTCAAGAAGAAATCATAAGACATGAAAAAGGGAAAATATGAAATGTGTATATAGAAAAAATAGACCCAAAGGTTGGCATTAGCAGATAGATTCAAAGCAGCCATTATACATATGTTCAAAGAACTGAATATAATCATGCTTAAGGAATTAATGATGCTACAACGGCAATGTCTCATTCAATAGAGAATATCACACAGAAAATATTCATAAACTTTTATAAATTATAAAAAGGAAACAAATGGAAGTTTTGTAGTTGAAAATCACATAAAATAAAAAATATAGTAGAAGTCTCATAGTAGATTTGAAATGGCAGAAGAAAATCTCAGCACACTTGAATATAGGTCAATAGAGATTATGCAATCTGAAGACCAAGTAGAAAAAAATATATAGACAAATAAGCACTCTTAGAGAAATGTGGGACATCATTAAGTGCACTGACAAATGCTTCTGGGAGTGCCAGAAGGAGAGAAGAAAAGAAAGTGGAAGGAAAACTTTTTGAGGAAATAATAATTGAAAACCTGCCAGATTTGATTAAAAATAATAACAATCTACGTATTCAAAAAGTTCAGCAAACTTCAATTAGAAAAAATGCAGAGATCCACAGCCAGACATAACAGCCAAAATGCAGAGATCCACAGCCAGGCATAACAGCCAAAATGCTGAAAGCCAAAGGTAAAAATAAGATGTTTTAAGCATTAAGAGAAAAAGAACTCATTACATACCAGAAAGGTCCATTAAGATTAACAGCTACTTCTCAGAAGACAACAGACAGTGGGATGATTTATTTGAAGTTTAAGAGAGAAAGAGGGAGAGAAGAAGGGAGATAAAAAGACATAGAAGAAGAAAGGGAGAAAGGAAGGAAGAAATAAATAATCTTATACCCAGAAAAAACTATTTCTCAAAAAATGAAGACAAAATAAAATCCTTGTAAGATAAGCAAAAACTGAATTTTTCACTAAAAGATATCTGCCTTGCAAGAAATACTAAAGAAGTCCTTTAGGCTAAAACCAGTGGCAACACATGGGAATCCAAACCTACAGACACACACACACAAAATGAGTGTTGGTAAAGGAAACTATGTAGGTAACTAATTTTTTTTAATTATGATCATATTAATTTCCTTTTTGGTTAAAAGATTAAAATTAATTGCAGAAAACTAGATAGGTGATGTTGGTGATGATTGACAGATACATAAATATATGGATTAAATAGATATCAGATAAAAAAGGTTAGATAGATAAAAAGATAGATAGAAAGATTGGGTTAAATTTTGTTCCTCCAAAAGGTAAGTTTAAGTCCTAATATTGGGTACCTGTGTATGTGACCTTATATAGAAATAGTCCTTGTAGAAATAATCAAGTTAATATGAGGTTATTAGGGTTAGCCCTTTTGTTTTAAATTATAATTTAAGTTCTGGGGTACATGTGTAGAATGTGCAGGCTTGTTACATAGGTATACACATGCCATGGTGGTTTGCTGCACACATCAACCCATCATCTACATTACGTATTTCTCCTAACGTTATCCCTGTCCTAACCCCCCACCCCCCGACAGGCCCCAGTGTGTGATGTTGCCCTCCTTGTGTCCATGTGTTCTCATTGTTCAACTGCCACTTATGAGTGAGAACGTATGGTGTTTGGTTTTCTGTCCCTGTGTTATTTTGCTGGGAATGATGGTTTCCAACTTCATCTGTGTCCCTGCAAAGAACATAAACTCATCCTTTTTATGGTAGCATAGTATTCCATGGTGTAAATGTGCCACATTTTCTTTATCCAGTCTATCATTGATGGGCATTTGGATTGGTTCAAAGTCTTTGCTATTGTGAACAGTGCTGCAATAAACATATGTGTGCAGTGACTTTATAGTAGGATGATTTATAATCCTTTGAGTATATACCCAGTAATAGGATTGCTGGGTCAAATGGTATTTCTGGTTCTCAATTCTTGAGGAATTGCCACGCTGTCTTCCACAACGGTTGAACTAATTTACACTCCCACCAACAGTGTAAAAACATTCCTATTTCTCCACATCCTCTCCAGCATCTGTTTTTTCTTGACTTTTTAATGATCACCGTTCTAGCTGGTGTGAGATGCTATCTCTTTGTGGTTTTGATTTGCATTTCTCTAATGACCAGTGATGATGATCTTTTTTTCTGTATATTTATTGGTCACATAAATGTCTTCTTTTGAGAAGTGTCTGTTCATATCCTTCACCCACTTTTTGATGGGGTTGTTTTTTTTTCTTGTAAATTTCTTTAAGTTCCTTGTAGATTCAGGATATTAGCCTTTTGTCAGATGGATAGATTGCAAAAATTTTCTCCCATTCTGTAGGTTACCTGTTCATACTGATGATAGTTTTTTTTTCTTTCTTTCTTTCTTTTTTCTGTGCAGAAGCTCTTTAGTTTAATTAGATACCATTTGTCAATTTTGGCTTTTGTTGCCATTGCTTTTGGTGTTTTAGTCATGAAGTCTTTGCCCATGCCTATATCCTGAATGGTATTGCCTAGGTTTTCTTCTAGAGTTTTTATGGTTTTAGGTCTTACATTTAAGTTTTTAATGCATCTTGAGTTAATGTTTGTATAAGGTGTAAGGAAGGGGTCCAGTTTCAGTTTTCTGCATATGGCTAGCCAGTTTTTCCAACACCATTTATTAAATAGGGAATCTTTTCCCCATTGCTTGTTTTTGTCAGATTTGTCAAAGATCAGATGGTTGTAGATGTGTGGTAGTATTTCTGAGGCCTCTGTTCTGTTCCATTGGTCTATATATCAGTTTTGGTACTGTACCATGCTGTTTTGGTTACTTTAGCCTTGTGGTATAGTTTGAAGTCAGGTAAGGTGATGCCTCCAGCTTTGTTCTTTTTGCTTAGGATTGTCTTGTGTATATGGGATCTTTTTTGGTTCCATATGAAATTTAAAGAAGTTTTTTTTTCTAATTCTTTGAAGAAAGTCAAAGGTAGCTTGATGGGGATAGCGTTGAATCTATAACTTACTTTGGTCAGTATGGCCATTTTCACGATATTGATTCTTCCTATCCATGAGCATGGAATGTTTTTCCATTTGTGTCCTCTCTTATTTCCTTGAGCAATGGTTTGTATTTCTCCTTGAAGAGGTCCTCCATATCCCTTGTAAGTTGTATTTCTATGTATTTTATTCTCTTTGTAGCAATTGTGAATGGGAGTTCACTCATGATTTGGACCTCTGTTTGTCTGTTATTGGTGTACAAGAATGCTTGGGATTTTTTTCACATTGATTTTGTATCCTGAGGCTTTGCTGAGTTGCTTATCAGCTTAAGAAGATTTTGGACTGAGATGACGGGGTTTTCTAAATATACAATCATGTCATATGCAAACAGAGACAATTTGACTTCCTGTCTTCCTATTCGAATACCCTTTATTTCTTTCCCTTGCCTGATTGCCCTGGCCAGAACTTCCAATACCATGTTGAATAGTAGTGGTGAGAGAGGGCATCCTTGTCTTGTGCCGGTTTTCAAAGGGAATGCTTCTAGCTGTTAGAAGGAAAACTAACAAACAGAAAGGAATAGCATCAACATCAGCAAAAAGGACGTCCACACAGAAACCCCATCCAAAGGTCACCAACATCAAAGACCAAAGGTAGGTAAATACACAAAGATGAGGGAAAAAACTGCACAGAAAGGCTAAAAATTCCAAAAACCAGACACCTCTTCTCCTCCAAAGGATCACAAGTCCTCACTAGCAAGGGAACAAAACTGGATGGAGAATGAGTTTGATGAATCGACAGAAGTAGGCTTCAGAAAGTGGGTAATAACAAATTCTTCCAAGCTAAAGGAACATGTTCTAACCCAATGCAAAGAAGCTAAGAACCTTGAAAAAAGGTTAGATGAATTGTTAACTAGAATAACCGGTTTAGAGAAGAGCATAAATGACCCAAAAGAGCTGAAAAACACAGCATGAGAACCTCGTGAAGCATATACAAGTATCAGTAGCCAAATCGATCAAGTGGAAGAAAGGGTATCAGAGATTGAAGATCAACTTAATGAAATAAAGTGTGAAGACAAAATTAGAGAAAAATGAATGAAAAGGAATGAACAAAGCCTCAAAGAAATATGGGACTATATGAAAAGACCAAACCTACGTTTGATTGGTACCTGAAAGTGATGGGGAGAATGGAACCAAGTTGGAAAACACTCTTTAGGATATTATCCAGGAGAACTTCTTCAATCTAGGAAGACAGGCTAACATTCAAATTCAGGAAATACCGAGACCACCACAAAGATACTCCTTGAGAAGAGCAACCCTAAGACACATAATCATCAGATTCACCAAGGTTGAAATGTAGGAAAAAATGTTAAGAGCAGCCAGAGAGAAAGGTCGGGTTACTCACAAAGGGAAGCCAATCAGACTAACAGCAAATCTCTCTGCAGAAATCCTATGAGCCAGAAGAGAGTGGGGGCCAATATTCAAAATTCTTAAAGAAAAGAAGTTTCAACACAAAATTTCATATCCAGTCAAACTAAGCCTCATAAGCGAAGGAGAATTAAAATCCTTTACAGACATGCAAATGCTGAGAGATTTTGTCACCACCGGGCCTGTCTTATAAGAGCTTCTGAAGGAAGCACTAAATATGGGAAGGAAAAACCGGTACCAGCCACTGCAAAAACATACCAAATTGTAAAGACCATTGACACTATAAAGAAATTGCATCAATTAATGGGCAAAATAACCAGCTAGTATCATAATGACAGGATCAAATTCACACATAGCAATATTAACCTTAAATATAAGTGGGCTAAATGCCCTAATTAAAAGACACAGACTGGCAAATTGGATAAAGAGTCAAGGCCCATAGGTGTGCTGTATTCAGGAGACCCATCTCACATGCAAAGGCACACATAGGCTCAAAATAAAGGGATAGAGGAATATTTACCAAGCAAATGGAGAGCAAATAAAGCAGGGGTTGCAACTCTAGTCTCTGACAAAACAGACTTTAAATCAACAAAGATTAAAAAAAAGACAAAAAAGGGCATTACATAATGGTAAAGGGATTAATGCAACAAGAAGAAGAAACTATGATAAATACATATGCAACCAATACAGGAGCACACAGATTCATAAAGCAAGTCCTTAGAGACCTACAGAGAGACATAGACTCCCAAAGAATAATAGTGGGAGACTTTAACACCCCACTGTCAATATTAGACAGATCAATGAACAGAAATGACAGAATGACAGAAAATTGAAAAGGACATGCAGGACTTGAACTCAGCTCTCGACCAAGCAGACCTAATAGACATCTGTAGAACTCTCCACACCAAATCAACAAAATATACATTCTTCTCAGCACCACATCGCACTTATTCTAAAATTGACCACATAATTTGAAGTAAAAGACTCCTCAGCAAATGCAAAAGAACAGAAATCATAACAAACAGTCTCTCAGACCACAGTACGATCAAATTCAGAACTCAGGATTAAGAAACTCACTCAAAATCATACAACTACATGGAAACTGAACAACCTTCTCCTGAATGACTACTGGGTAAATAACGAAATTAAGGCAGAAATAAATAAGTTCTTTGAAATCAATGAGAACAAAGACACAATGTACCAGAATCTCTGGGACACAGCTAAAGCAGTGTTTAGAGGGAAATTTATAGCACTAAATGCCCACAGAAGAAAGTGGGAAAGAAAGTTCTAAAATCAACACCCTAACATCACAATTAAAAGAAATAGAAAAGCAAGAGCAAACAAATTCAAAAGCCAGCAGAAGATAAGAAACAACTAAGATCAGAGCAGAACTGAAGGAAAGAGAGACGTGAAAAACCCTTTAAAAAAATAAATGACTCCAGGAGCTGGTTTTTTGAAAAGATTAACAAAACAGACCACTAATCAGACTAATAAAGAAGAAAAGAGAGAAGAATCAAATAGACACAATAAAAAATGTTAAAGGAGATATCACCACTGATCCCACAGAAAGACAAACTACCATCAGAGAATACTATAAACACCACTACACAAATAAACTAGAAAATCTAGAAGAAATGGATAAATTCCTGGACACATACACCCTCCCAAGGCTAAACCAGGAATAAGTCAAATCTCTTAATAGACAAATAACAAGTTCTGAAATTGAGGCAGTAATTAATAGCCTACCAACCAAAAAAATCCCAGGACCAGACAGATTCACAGCTGAATTCTACCAGAGGTACAAGGAGGAGCTGGTACCATTCCTTCTGAAACTATTCCAAACAATGGAAAAAGAAAGACCCCTCCCTAACTCATTTTACGAGGCCAGCAACATCCTGATACCAAAACCTGGCAGAGAGAGAGACATGACAAAAAAAGAAAATTTCAGGCCAATATCCCTGATGAACATCGATGTGAAACTCCTCAATAAAATACTGGCAAACCGAATCCAACAGCACATCAAAAAGCTTATCCACCACGATCAAGTCAGCTTCATCCCTGGGATGCAAGGCTGGTTCAACATACACAAATCAATAAACATAATCCATCACATAAACAGAACCAATGACAAAAACCACATGAATATCTCAGTAGATGCAGAAAAGGGCTTCAATAAAATTCAACACCACTTCATGCTAAAAGCTCTCAATAAACTAGGTATTGATGGACTGTATCTCAAAATAATAAGAGCTATTTATGATAAACCCACAGCCAATATCATACTGAATTGGGTCCTAATCTAATATTGCTGGTGTCCTTATAATAAAAGGAGAGAGACACAGAGAAGATAGCTATGTAACGATATATAGACACTCAGGGAAAAGTTTATGTGATGACAGAGGCAGAGACTAGAATGATGTAGCTCTAAGCCATTGAACACTAACAATTAGGACCACCCTTAGAAGCTAGGAATAGGCAAAGAAGAAGGAAGAATTCCATGGAGTCTAAAGAGAGCATGATCCTGCAGACACCGTGGTTTCAGACTTCTAGTCTCCGAAACTGAGCAAGAATGAATTTCTGCTGTTTCAAGTAACCCAATTTGTGAAACTTTGTTGGGGCAGCCTTAGAAAACTAGTTACCTGTATAGTTGGAGATAAGTTCATTTACTATACTGTCTTTTATAATTACATACATAATTACCTTTTCCAACATTCAGTCTTCTGTGTGGATTCCAGATATAGATATGGATATACACATGTACAGATAAAATTTTATTATTGGGCTTACACTACATACACATTATATTAGTTCTCTTGTGTTGCCATAACAAAGTATCACAGATTGGGTGATTTAAACAACGGAAATTTATTTTCTCTCGTTTCTGAAGTCTAGAAGTCCAAGATCAAGGTGTTGGCAGAACTGATTTCTTCTGAGGCCTCTTTCCTTGACTTTTAAATTGCTATCTTCTTTTTCTGTCTTTGGAATATCCTTCCTCTGTGCATGCACATGTACATGCCTGTATCCAAATTTTCTCTTCTTATAAGGATATCAATCAGATTAGATTATGGCCTACCCTAAATATTTTATTTTACCTTAAAGACCTTAGCTCCAAATATGGTGACATTCTGATCTACTGGGGATTATGACTTAAATACATGGATTTGGGAGGAGGAGGGCATCCCACAGTAGATGTGCAATCTTTTCAATAATAACAGCATAAAGTAGGCAAGAGGTAATAACTGAGTATTGGAGAAAGGAATGACACTAGATAAATTAAGCCACAGGAAGAAATGAATACCTACAGAGGCGATTTTGATCCAATTTAGTTTGGGCCAAATTTAATCATACGGTCCTCAAAAGTGAAAGAAGAGGAGGAAGAGAAGAGTGTTCAAAAAGTGCAATATGAAATGGACTCAATTCATTGCTACTGGTTTTCAAGATGGAGGTAGGAGGCCATCAGCCAAGAAATGCAGGTGTTACCTGGAAGCTGGATAAAGGAAAGCAATTGATTGTTCCGAAGAGCCTACAAAAATGAATGTGGCTCAGCCAACACCTTGATTTTAGCATAATGATACCTATGTCCAACTTCTAACCCACAGAACTATAAGATAATTAATATGAACTGTTAATCTACTAAATCTATGGCAGCTTGTTACTAATACATAAAGTTATAACAATTCATTACATGTGCATCAGTTTCCTAGGACTGCTGTAGCAAAGTACCACAAACTGAGTTGATTAAAACAACAGAAAAAAGAGTTCGACTCTTTCTGTTGACATCTATATTATTTAGCCATTGCACTTCTGGGTATATACCAAAAATAATTTAAAGTAGGGTCTTGGAGAGAGATTTGTACACTCATGTTCACAGCAGCATTATTCACAATAGCCAACAGATAGCACCAACCCAAATGTCCGTAAGCAAGCAAAACGCAATATACACATAGAATGGAATATTATTCATCCTAAATAGGAAGGAATGTCTGATACATGCTACAACATGAGTAAACTTTGGGGACATTTTGCTAAGTGAAATGGGCCAGTCACAAAACAGCAAACCCTGTATGATTCCATTTATATGAGGTATTTAGAATAGGCAAGTTCACAGAGATGGAAAGTAGAATGGTGGCTCTCATGGACTGGGAGGTAGGAGGCAATGTGAGCTTAGTGTTTTATGGGTATAAAGAGTTTCAGTTGTGCAAGATAAAAAGAGCTCTGGAGATTTTTTTCACCACAGTATGAATGCACTTAACACTACTGAACTGTACACTTAAAAATGGTTATGATAGTAAATTTTATATATACTTTACCACAATTAAAAAACATGTCTCCTTAAGAATTTTTCTAAGAATAATAGTAAAAATAATACATAGTTAAGAAAATCAAACAACAGAAATTAATTCTTATAATTGTGGAAGCTAGAAGTCTGAAATAAATGTGGCCGCAGAACCCCGCTTCCTCCAAAACATGTAGGGGAGAATCCTTTCTTGCATCTTCATGGCTTCTGATGGTGGTTGTGGATCCTTAGTGTTCCTGGGCTTATGGCTGTA
This sequence comes from Homo sapiens, assembly GCF_000001405.40. NCBI lineage: Eukaryota > Metazoa > Chordata > Mammalia > Primates > Hominidae > Homo > Homo sapiens. The sequence goes on from NC_000013.11 coordinate 71,134,656, forward strand.
TCACTCCAGTGGCTGTGTCTGTCATCACTTGGCATTGCCCTTGAGAATCTATGTCATCACACCTTCTTTCTGTAAGGACATCAGTCATATTGAATTAAACTCTCACTTTACTGCAGTATGACCTTAGCTTAACTAATTACATATGCAATGACTATATTTCCAATTAAGATCACATTCTGTGGCACAGAGGGTTTGAACATCAATATATCTTTCTGGAGGAAAACATTCATAACAATACGTTTAACAAAAATGCACAAAAAGCAGGAAGGAGGGGCACTATATAAGAATGAAGATTATATGTTCATTGGTATTAAATTAGTATAAATCTGAAGTCAATTTTCAAAAATTTAGATATTTATTGAATGTCCTAGAGCAAACTTGAAGATAATAATTTCAAATTAGAATTATAAAATTACTAATGGAATTGTAACAGTTGACAATATCAATTTAAAATTAGGGAAGACAGTAAAGTAAGAACACATGAACAAAAAAGACATAAGACATATATAAAACAAAAATAAAAATGGCAGATGTAAATTCAACTATAGTAATAATAACAGGAATGTTAATGAATTAACAATCAGTCAAAGTGCAGAGGTTAACAGACTGTATTTCTTTAAAAGATAAGAACCAGCTTTTTGCTCTCTGTAGGTATACACTTTATATCCAAAGATCTAAATAGATTGAAAGTAAAAGGATTTAAAAAGATACTATAAAAACAAC